>NC_000003.12:50616060-50919090 GCF_000001405.40 Homo sapiens | reverse complement strand
AGAAATAATACCACACATCTACAACCATCTGATCCTTGACAAACCTGACAAAAACAAGAAATGGGGAAAGGATTCCCTATTTAATAAATGGTGCTAGGAAAACTGGCTAGCTATACATAGAAAGCTGAAACTGGATCCCTTCCTTACACTTTATACGAAAATTAATTCAAGAAGGATTAAAGACTTAAATGTTAGACCTAAAACCATAAAAACCCTAGAAGAAAACCTAGGCAATACCATTCAGGTCGTAGGCATGGGCAAGGACTTCATGACTAAAACACCAAAAGCAATGGCAATAAAAGCCAAAATAGACAAATGGGATCTAATTAAACTAAAGAGCTTCTACACAGCAAAAGAAACTACCATCAGAGTGAACAGGCAATCTACAGAATGGGAGAAAATTTCTACAATCTACCCATCTGACAAATCACTAATATCCAGAATCTACAAAGAACTTAAACAAATTTACAAGAAAAAATCAAACAACCCCATCAAAAAGTGGGCAAAGGATATGAACAGACACTTCTCAAAAGAAGACATTTATGCAGTCAACAGACACATGAAAAAAGGCTCATTATCACTGGCCATCAGAGAAATGCAAATCAAAACCACAATGAGATACTATCTCACACCAGTTAAAATGGCGATCATTAAAAAGTCAGTTAACAACAGGTGCTGGAGAGGATGTGGAGAAATAGGAACACTCTTACACTGTTGGTGGGACTGTAAACTAATTCAACCATTATGGAAGACAGTGTGGCGATTCCTCAAGGATCTAGAACTAGAAATACCATTTGACCCAGCCATCCCATTACTGGGTATATATCCAACGGATTATAAAGCATGCTACTATAAAGACACATGCACACGTATGTTTATTGTGGCACTATTCACAATAGCAAAGACTTGGAACCAACCCAAATGTCCATCAATGATAGACTGGATTAAGAAAATGTGGCACACATACACCATGGAATACTACACAGCCATAAAAAAGGATGAGTTCATGTCCTTTGTAGGGACATGGATGAAGCTGGAAACCATCATTCTCAGCAAACTATCATAAGGACAGAAAACCAAACACTGTATGTTCTCACTCACAGGTGAGAACTGAACAATGAGAACACCTGGACACAGGGTGGGGAACATCACACACCGGGGCCTGTCATGGGGTTGGGGGAGGGAGAAGGGATAGCATTAGGAGATATACCTAATGTAAATGATGAGTTAATGGATGCAGCACACCAACATGTCACATGTATACATATGTAACAAAGCTGCACGTTATGCACATGAACCCTAGAACTTAAAGTATAATAAAAATAAAAACAAAACTTCAGAGTTACGTAAAAATACAAAATACAAACTATCATTCATGACAACTGAAAAAAATTAATGAGATAGAAAACAAACAATATTAAGAATATGCAAAATAAAAACACTGGTTCTTTATAAAGTCAAAGCAGAAAAACTTCCAAAAAAGTTGATGTGAAGAAAAATTTTAAAAAACACAAAAACAGTATTAGAGTAAAAGGGGTGAGCATAATCATCTATTAGAGCTGAAAATTTAAAATATCCTTAAAAATACAATGATAAGCTTATAGTAATAAATCTAAAAAATAATATGGATGCAAACATTTCCAGGAAAATATAAAGTACTAAAATTTACTCAAGAAGAAATAGGACACCTGGATAAATAAAAAAAACCATTAAAGCAACTGAATTAACCAAGTAATCAAGTTTTTCTCCCCTACCCACCCTACTACCCAACCCATTATCTAAAGATAGCAGGCCCAGACATTTTAAAAGTCAAGTTTTATCAAACCTTTAAAGAATGGTTAATCTCTACATTAACTTTCTCAGTCTAGAAATCATGTGAAGGTCATTCAATTCATGCTATGAAGCTAGAATAATATTTAGACCCAAATTAGTAAAGGATATGACAAGAAAAGAAAATCATAGACCAATCACACATATAAATACAGAAGCAAAAATCTAGAAAATCAAAGGCAATAGTGTAATAAAAATAATACATCATTACTATGACAAGTAATTGGAACATCCGTGTCTTTCCTCTAATATTTCAACATTATTACATTCCATAGGTCTTTCTTACTTTCTTAAAATATGTATTTTGAAATGATTACCAAGCAAGATGTACAATTAGAAGCCCCTAGCACTTGTCCCCCTCATAAAGGGAGCCAAAACAATTATAAGACAACTACTTTTTTTTTTTTTTTTTTTGAAACGGAGTCTCGCTCTGTTGCCCAGGCTGGAGTGCAATGGCACAATCTCACTCTGTTGCCCAGGCTGGAATGTAGTGGCGCAATCTCGGCTCACTGTAAGCTCCCCCTACCGGGTTCACACTATTCTCCTGCCTCAGCCTCCTGAATAGCTGGGATTACAGGTGCCCGCCACCACACCCAGCTAATTTTTTTCTACTTTTACCAGAGACGGGGTTTCACCAGGATGGTCTCGATCTCCTGACCTCGTGATCCACCAGCCTCAGCCTCCCAAAGTGCTGCGATTACAGGTGTGAGCCACCGTGCCTGGCCAAGACAACTACATTTTAACAAAAATAACTGAGGGAGAGTGCCAGAGTGCATCAAAGGAGCAATACAAACTCTGGTGAGAAGAGAAAGTTGGCCATGTAGAGAATGGAAGGAAGCATCGGGCCCATCTCCCAACTGGGCTCAGCTGGAAACCAGGAGGCGGAGCTTGCAGTGAGCCAAGATTGCGCCACTACACTCCAGCCTGGGTAACAGAGTGAGATTGTGCCACTGCACTCCAGCCTGGGCGACAGAGCGACTTATCCCAACAGTAAGGAGTTAAGCTAAAGGATCCCAGGAACACACATTAACACCCTGGACAGTTGAAGGCCTCAACACTCAGGCCAATGCAGTCCTCATAGGAACTTAAACCCAGCTGAGGGAGCTGCCTGGAGTCCACATAGCTGTGCTTTCCCCAGAGAAGGAGCCGACACCATGTCCCATCCCCTATGGCCCACATGGCTATCGCATGTCTCCATTTTGGAAGTGGAACTATGGCTGGAGTGTATCTTGCTCTGGGGGCGAGCAGACATGGCATTCCTTCATCGCTGTGGCTGAGGCATCACAGAACCATCCCAAATCTATGGCTGGATATCCCCAAGCTAAGTTGAGAGCAACTGTTAGACCCCTCCCCATAGAAACAAGCAAAGATGGGGCGACTCTACCTAACCTTCCCCCTACTGCTATGGGCCAGAGCTGAGGTAGTACCCTCATCTTGAAAACACGGTACCTTGGTCACCTAGAGCAGTCATGCCTCCCCAGTAACTAAGCTGAAACAAAATAGTGCCTTGGCCATCCAGAGTGGCTATACACCCCAGTACCTCAGCTGAAGCACCTCCCTGCATTCCAGGAAAATGATACCTGGGTCACCCAGAACAGTCACTCTCCCCAGGCCTCAGCTGAAGCAGCACATCACCCCCTGGGAAACTGCTGCCCTGGCAAGTGGAGCAGCTGCGCATTCCAGGACTGAGTTGGTGCAGTACCCCATATCCCAGAGAAACAGAATGGTGTCTGAACTTGGACACCTTGCCCTACAGGCCACACAATACTAGCATCCTGCCTTCCATGCAGGTGAACTCGTCCCCTAGAGCATACACTGCTGAAAGACTGCTCTCGCTGGGGAGGGGAGTCATTGCTGTACTGTTCCCTGCACCCTCCAGGGACCAAACAACAGCTGTGCTTCACCATTCTACAGGGGCAGGTACATTCTGCCCCTGTACCTGACCTCACATAGTCTGGGATACTGCAAAGCCCCGCCATCTCATGGTCTAGAGTCACTACTACAAGATGCTTCATGCCCTGCCCCTGAGTTCTATTGGATTGGGGATGCCAAACTGCAGCTGTATCCTGCTCCTAGGCCCAAACCTCCAGAACACCTCTTCCCTGGAGTCAAGCCAGTGCTGTGCCCTGCCATGCACAAGTAGAATTACAACTAAAACCTGGCACTCTGGGCCCACATTGCTAAGGGGTGCCTCAAATTCACAAATCTTGGCTGTGTGGGCAATCTATATCCAACTCTGCCACAGACAGCAAACCTAAACCCCAAGACCCAGGTGTTGCAATACATCCATGACACCCAGAAGCTAGAACACTAGTCCCACAGCCACTTCAATAACATCCACCTAGAACCCAGCACCACTGCAAATGCTTGTAGGCCATGTCAAACATGACACCAAGAGGGATCCCATTGGTTAAGTCTCCCCATTGTGGGAAAAGCAAAAATTAAAGAATGAATTGGTGTTGGAGATTTCAACACCCTACTATCGGCATTAGACAGATCATCTGGACAGAAAATCAACAAAGAAACATTGGATTTAAACTACACATTACATTAAATGGACCAAACAGACATTAAAGAACATTTCATCCAATAGCTGAAGAATAAACATTCATATCATCAGCACATGAAACATTCTCCAGAATAGACTGTATGTTAGGCCACAACACAAGTCTCAACAAACTTAAAAGAACTGAAATCGTATCAACTATCTTTTCTGACCACAATAAAACTACATATCAACAACAAGAAAAACTTTCAAAGTTGCAGTTACATGCAAATTAAACAACATGTTTCAGAATAAACAATGTCTCAATGAAAAAGTGAAGAATAAAATTTAAACATTTCTTGTAACAAGTGAAAATAGAAACACAACATACTAAAACCTATGGATACAGCAAAAGTGGTATTAAGAGGAAAGTTTATAGAAATCAATGCCAATATAAAAAAAGTAGAAAGCTCTCAAATGAACAACCTCAAATGAACAACAAGAATGAATGTAAATAATTAGATGAGCAAGAACAAACCAAACCTAAAGTTAACATAAGAAAATAAACTATAGAGCCGAAATAAACAAAATTGAGGAAAAAAATACAAAGAGCCACAAAATAAAAACTGGGTTTTTAAAGAAGGTAAACAAAACTGACAAACTACTACCTATACTAACCATGAAAAAAAAGACCCAAATAAATAAAATAAAATAAAATAAAATAAGAGAGACAATACAGGGAGGACAAAGCAAGATGCCAGAATACAAGGCTCCATCAACTGTCCTCTCCCCGCAACACAAGGACACCAATTTAACAAGTATCCACTCCAAAAAAGCACCTTTATGAGAACTAAAATTCGGATGACCCCCATATAGTACCTGGTTTTAACTTCATACTGCTGAAACAGGCACTAAAGAGGTATAAAAAACAATCGTGAATCGCCAATACCACTCCTTCCCAATCCCCCAGCAGTAGTACAGAGAGGGTTCCTGTGCACTGAAGAGAGGGAACTTGCAGCAATTCTAACGCACTGAATTCAGTGCTATTCTGTTATAGCACAAAAACAACACAGATGAAACTCAGCTGATGCCCACCAACGAAGGGATCATTGTAAACCAGCTGTAGCCAGAAGGGAATCAACAATTCCAGTGGTTGGAAGGTGAGTTCCCACAAGCCTCACCACTGTGAACATGCTCTGGGGTCCTAAATAATCTTGAAAGGCAGTCCAGGGCACAAGTACTGAAACTCCTATGTGAGTGCTGAACTGGGCCCAGAGCCAGTGGACTGGAGAGGTGCGTGACACCTAATGGGACAAGAGCCAAAGCAACTAAGGGAGTGCTGACATCACCCCTCCCCTAGCCCCAGGCTGCACAGCTTGCAACTCCAAAAGACCCCTCCCTTCTGCTTAAGGAAAGGAAAGAGTGGGAAGACTTTGTTTTGCATACTGGATAACAGCTCAACCACAGCAAGACAGGGCACCAGTCAATCACAAGGTCCCCTTTCCAGGTCCTAACTCTCAGACCTTACTAACCTACTAAACTAAACATACCCAGGCCAGAAGAAAACCCGCAGCCTTGAAGGGAAGGACCCACTCCAAAATAAATTGATCACCTGCTAACTGAAAAGCCCTCGGGCCACGAATAAACACCAGTGATACCCAGGTACTATGTCAAGGGCCTTGGGTGAGAATCTGAGACCTGCTGCCTTCAGGTGAGACACAGAACATTCCCAGCTCTGGTTGCTACAGGGCAAGACTTCCGCTTGAGAAAAGTGGAGGGGAAAAGTAAAAGGGGCTTTCTCTTGCACCTTAGGAACCAGCTTGGTCACCGGTCAGTAGGGAACAAAGCAGCCTCTAGGGGCCCTCGATTCCAGGACTTGGCTCTTGGATGGCATTTCTGGAGCTGTCCTGGGTCAGAGAGGAGGCCACTGCCCTGAAGGGTGAGTCCCAGGCAAGGCAAGATTCACTGCACGCTGACTCTGGAGCCCTTAAGACTTAAGGGAACATCAACAGTAGTCTGGCAGTACTCCCTGTGGGCCTGTGGGCCTGTGGCAGCAGTGGCTACAGGGTGAGGTTTCTCTGCCTTTGGAAAAGGGAGGGAAAAGGGGGAAGGATGTTGTCTTGTGGTTTCAGTAACAGCTCAACTACATAGCACAATAGAACACCAAGTAGACTTCTAAAGTTTTTTACTAGTTCCTGGCTCCTGGACATCACCTCTGGACCCACCTGGGGACTAAGGAAACTTGGCATCCTGAAGGGAAGGACACAGGCCTGGCTGGCTTTGCCACCTGCTGACTGTAGAGCACCAGGGCCTTGAGCAAACATACACAGTAGCCAGGGAGTGGTTATAGTAGTCCTTGGGTGACATTCAGTGCCATGAAGCTTCAGGTCTGACCCAGCACAGACCTAGTGACCACAGAGGTGCTTGTGTCACTCCATCCCCAGCTACAGATGGCTCAAAACACAGAGAGGGAGATTTTGCTTGTTTGGGAGAAAGTAAGGAAAAAGAACAAGAGTCTCTGCCTGGTAATACAGAGAATACTTCTGGATCGTGTCAAAGACTATCAAGGTGGTACCTCATGATCAAGTGGAATTCATCCCAAGGAAAGAGAAAGTAATAAAGGGCATCTAAAGTGGAACGGAGGAAGTAAAACTGTTTCTGTTTGAAAACAACATGATCATATATATCTCTACAAACTCTACCAGAAAATTAATTATAACTGAAAGGCAAATTCAGTAAAGTTGCAGTATATAACATCAACCTGCCAAAATCAGTAGCACTTCAAGAGACCAACAACAAACTAGCAGAAAAAGAAACCAAAAAGCAAGCCCATGTATAATAGCTATAAAAAATAATAATAAGATACCTAAGAATAAATTAAACAAGGTAGTGAAAGATCTCTACAAGGAAAACTATTAAACACTGATAAAAAGAAACTGAAGAGGGCACAAATAAAGGAAAAGAAAGTCCATGTTCATGAATAGGAAGAATATTGTGAAAATGACCAAACTACCAAAAGCAATCTGCAGATTCCATGCAATCTCTCTTTCTTTCTCTCTCTCTCTCTCTCTCAAAAAACAATTATGTTCTTCACAGAAATAGAAAAATCCTAAAATCTGTATGGTACTACAAAATTTTCCAAGTAGCTAAGGCAATCCTAAGTAAAAAGAACAAAGCTGGAGGCATCACACTACCTGACTTCAAAATATACTAAAAGCCACAGTAACCAAAACAACATGGTACTGGCATCAAAAACAGATACATAGAGCAATGAAACAGAATAGAGAACAAAAATAAATCCACACATATGAAGTCAACTCATTTTTGTCAAATGTGGCAAAAACATACATTGGAGAAAGGACAGTATATTCAATCAATGGTGCTAGGAATACTAACTATCCATGTGTAGAACAATGAAACTAAACCCCATTTCTCACCACATACAAAAGTCAATTTGAAATGGATTAAAGACTTAAATGTAAGACTTGAAACTATGATACCACTAGAAGAAAACATAGGGAAAATTCTCAGCACATTTGTCTGGGCAAAGATTTTTGGAGCGAGACCTCAAAGGAAAAATAACAAAAGCAAAAACAGACAAATGGGATGATAACAAGCTAAAAAGCTTCTGCACGGATAAAGAGGCAATCAAGAAAGTGAAAAGACAACCTATAGAAAGGGGGAAATATTTGCGAACTATTCATGTGACAAAGGATTAATAACCACCATATATAATGAACTCAATTCCACAGCAAAAAGACAATCCAAAAAAAAAACAGACAAATGAGGGAAGGCATAGCAAGATGGCCAAATAGAACCCTCCAGCAATCATCCTCTGCAGGAACACCAAATTGAACAACCATCCATGCAAGAAAGCACCTTCTTAAGAACTAAAAATTAGAGGTGAGTGGACAGAGCACCTGGTTTTAACATGATATCAAGGAAAGAAGCATTGAAGAGATAAGAAAGACTGACTCACATTGCCTACACCACCAATCCCCATCCACCATCAGCACATGGAGAGACAATCTGTGTACTTGGGGGAGGGAGAACAAAGTGACTGTGGGGCTTTGCATTGGAACTCAGTGATTCCTTATCACAGCAGAACATAACACAAGGCAGAATTTGGCCAATGCCCATGGAGTGGGCTCTTAGAGCACCTTCAGCCAGAGGGTAATCTTACACCCCAGCAGTAGGCACCTGAGTGGTGGCTAGCCCCACCACCAGTTCACTAAAGTGCCCCTGGGTTCTGAACAAATTTGAAATGCAGTCTAGGCCAAAAGGACTGCAGTCATTGGACAAGTCCTGGGGCTGTGCTGGGCTAAGAGCTGCTGGACTTGGGGTGCACATGACCCAGTGACACATGAGATGGGGCAGCCAAAGGAATGATTGTGTCACCAGTGGAAAAGATCTCTCCCTGAGCTGCACTGCCTAGAGTGTAAGGAGGGGTGATGCTGGAAACTCAAAAAGCCAGAGTGCCTTTTCTTCTCCAAATGACTGCAATACCTCTCCAGCAAGAGCACAGAACTGGTCTGAGGCTGAGATGGCTGAAATGACAGGAGCAGGCTTCAGGAGGTGGGTAATAATGAACTTCACTGAGATAAAGGAGCATGTCCTAACCCAATGCAAAGAAGCTAACAATCATGAAAAAACAATATAAGAGCTGATAATGAGAATAGCCATTTTAGAAAGGAGCATAACTGACCTGATGAAGCTAAAAGTAAAACACAGGAAATTCACAATGCAATCACAAGTACCAATAGCAGAACAGACCAAGCAGAGAAAAGAATATCAAAGCTTGAAGACGATCTTTCTGAAATAATACAGGCAGACAAGAATAGAGAAGAAAGAATGAAAAGGAATGAACAAAACCGCTGAGATATATGGGATTACATAAAAAGACCAAACCTACAACTGATTGAGTTACCTGAAAGAGATGGAGAGAACAGAACTAGGTTGGAAAACATACTTCAGGATATCATCCAGGAGATCTTCCCCAACCAAGCAAGACAGGCCAACATTCAAATTCAAGAAATCCAGAGAACCTCAGTAAGATACTCCACAAGAAGATCAACCCCAAGACACATAATCATCAGATTCTCCAAGGTCAAAATGAAAAAAAAAAAAAAAAAAACGTTAAGGGTAGCCAGAGAAAAAAGACAGGTCATCTACAAAGGAAAGCCCACCAGAATAACAGCAGACCCCTCAGTGGAAACCCTACAAGCCAGAAGAGATTGGAAGCCAATATTCAACATTCTTAAAAAAATTTCCAACCCAGAATTTCACATCTGGCCAAACTAAGCTTCATAAGCGAAGAAGAGATAAGATCCTTTTCAAAGAAGCAAATGCTGAGGGAATTCATCAACACGCCTGCCTTGCAAGAGCTCCTGAAGGAAGCACTCCATATGGAAAGGAAAGACCATTACTAGCCACTACAAAAACGCACTGAAGTACACAGAAGAACAGTGACACTATGAACAACCACATGAACAAGCCTGCAAAATAACCAGCTAACACCATGATGACACGATCAAATTCACACATAACAGTATTAAACTTAAATGTTAATGGGCTAAATGCCCCAATTAAAAGACACAGAATGGCAAGATGGATAAAAAGTTAAGACCATTGGTATGCCGTCTTCAGGAGACCCATCTCACGTGCAAAGACATACATAGGCTCAAAATAAAGAGATGGAGGAAAATTTACCAAGCAAATGGAAAACAAAAAAAAAGCAGGGATCACAATCCTACTTTCTGACAAAACAGACTTTACATTATCAAATATCAAAAAAGACAAAGAAGGGCATTACATAATGATAAAAGGTTCAATTCAATAGAAAGAGCTAAATAACCTAAATACATATGCACCCAATAGAGCAGCACCCAGATTCATAAAGCAAGCTCTTAGAGACCTACAAAGAGACTTAGACTCCCACAAAATAATAGTGGGAGACTTTAAAACCTCACTGACAATATTAGATCATCGAGACAGAAAATTAACAAAGATATTAAGGACCTGAACTAAGGTCTGGATCAAGCGAACCTGATCGATATCTACAGAACTCTCCAACCAATACCAACAGGATATACATTCTTCTGATTGCCACATGGCACTTACTCTAAAATAGATCACATAATCAGAAGTAAAACACACCTCAGCAAATGCAAAAGAACTAAAATCAAGACAGTCTCTCAGATGACAGCACAATCAAATTAGAACTCAATGTTAAGACACTCACTCCAACCCTCACAACTACAAGGAAACTGAACAACCTGTTCCTGAATTGACTACTGGGTGAATAATTGAGGCAGAAATCAAGAAGTTCTTTGAAAATAATGAGAACAAAGAGACAATGTAACAGAATCTCTGGGATGCTGCTAAAGCAGGGTTAAGACACAAGTTTATAACACTAAATGTCCACATCAAAAAGCCAGAAAGATCTCAAATGAGCAGCCTAACATCACAACTAAAAGAACTGTAGAATCAAGAGCAAAGAAACCACAAAGCTAGTAGAAAGCAAGAAATAACCAGGATCAGAGCAGACGTGAAATAAATTGAGATGAAAAAAAAAAAAAGCCCTTCAAAAAAAAAAAAAATCAATGAATCTGGAAGATGGTTTTTTGAAAAAATTAATAAAATAGACCGCTAGCTACACACATAATAAAAATGAGAATCAAATAGACACAATTATTAATGATAACAGGGATATCACTGCTGATCGCACAGAAATACTAACCACCAATAGAGAATACTATGAACATCTCTATGCCCATAAACTAGAAAATCTAGAAGAAATGAATAAATGACTGGATGCATATGCCCTCCCAAGACTGAACCAGGAACAAACTGAATCTCTGAATAGACCAACAACAAGCTCTGAAATTGAGGCAGTAATAAATAGCCTACCATCCAAACCAGAAGGATATACAGCTCAATTCTACCAGAGGCACAAAAAAGAGCTGGTACCAGCTAACATCATAATGACAGGATCAAATTCACACATAACAATATTCACTTTAAATGTAAATGGGCTAAATGCTCCAATTAAAAGGCACAGACTGGCAAATTGGATAGAGTCAAGACCCATCAGTGTGCTGTATTCAGGAGACTCATCTCATGTGCAGAGACACACAGAGGCTCAAAATAAAGGGATGGAGGAAGATCTACCAAGCAAATGGAAAACAAAAAAAGGCAGGGGTTGCAATCCTAGTCTCTGATAAAACAGACTTTAAACCAACAAAGATCAAAAAAGACAAAGAAGGCTATTACATAATGGTAAAGGGATCAATTCAACAAGAAGAGCTAACTGTCCTAAGCATATATGCACCCAATACAGGAGCAACCAGATTCATAAAGCAAGTCCTTAGAGACCTACAAAGAGACTTAGACTCCAAACAATAATAATGGGAGACTTTTAACACCCCACTGTCAACATTAGACAGATCAACGAGACAGAAAGTTAACAAGGATATTCAGGAATTGAACTCAGCTCTGCACCAAGCAGACTTAATAGACATCTAACGAACTCTCCACACCAAATCAAAAGAATATACATTCTTCTCAGCACCACGTCACACTTATTCCAAAATCAACATAGTTGGAAGTAAAGCACTCCTCAGGAAATGTAAAACAACAGAAATTATAACAAACTGTCTCTCAGACCACAGTGCAATCAAACTAGAACTCAGGATTAAGAAACTCACTCAAAACCACTCAACTACATGGAAACTGAACAACCTGCTCCTGAATGACTACTGGGTACATAACAAAATGAAGGCAGAAATAAAGATGTTCTTTGAAACCAATGAGAACAAAGACACAACATACCAGAATCTCTGGGACACATTCAAAGCAGTGTGTAGAGGGAAATTTATAGCACTAAATGCCCACAAAAGAAAACAGGAAAGATCTAAAACTGACACCCTAACGTCACAATTAAAAGAACTAGAGAAGCAAGAGCAAACACATTCAAAAGCTAGCAGAAGGCAAGAAATAACTAAGATCAGAGCAGAACTGAAGGAGATAGAGATACAAAAAAACCCTTCAAAAAAATCAATGAAGCCAGGAGCTGGTTTTTTCAAACAAAATTGATAGACTTCTAGCAAGAATAACAAAGAAAAGAGAGAATAACCAAATAGATGCAATAAAAAATGATAAGGGGGATATCACCACCGATCCCACAGAAATACAAACTACCATCAGAGAATACTATAAACACCTCTACACAAATAAACTAGAAAATCTAGAAGAAATGGATAAATTCCTAGACACACACACCCTCCCAAGACTAAACCAGGAAGAAGCTGAATCCCTGAATAGACGAATAACAGGCTCTGAAATTGAGGCAATAATTAATAGCCTCCCAACCAAAAAAAATGCAGGACCAGACGGATTCACAGCCAAATTTGACCAGAGGTACAAGGAGGAGCTGGTAGCATTCCTTCTAAAACTATTCCAATCAATAGAAAAAGACAGAATCCTCCCTAACTCATTTTATGAGGCCAGCATCATCCTGATACCAAAGCCTGACAGAGACACAGCAAAAAAAGAGAATTTTAGACCAATATTCCTGATGAACATCGATGCAAAAATCCTCAATAAAATACTGGCAAACCGAATCCAGCAGCACATCAAAAAGCTTATCCAAAATGATCAAGTGGGCTTTATCTCTGGGATGCAAGGCTGGTTCAACATATGCAAATCAATAAACGTAATCCAGCATATAAACAGAACCAAAGACAAAAACCACATGATTATCTCAATAGATGCAGAAAAGGCCTTTGACAAAATTCAACAGCCCTTCATGCTAAAAACTCTCAATAAATTAGGTATTGATGGGATGTATCTCAAAATAATAAGAGCTATTTATGACAAACCCACAGCCAATATCATACTGAATGGGCAAAAACTGGAAGTATTCACTTTGAACACTGGCACAAGACAGGGATGCCCTGTCTCACCACTCCTATTCAACATAGTGTTGGAAGTTCTGGCCAGGGCAATCAGGCAGGAGAAAGAAATAAAGGGCATTCAATTAGGAAAAGAGGAAGTCAAATTGTCCCTGTTTGCAGATGACATGATTGTATATTTAGAAAACCCCATTGTCTCAGCCCAAAGTCTCCTTAAGCTGATAAGCAACTTCAGCAAAGTCTCAGGATACAAAATCAATGTGCAAAAATCACAAGCATTCCTCTACACCAATAACAGACAAACAGAGAGCCAAATCATGAGTGAACTCCCATTCACAATTGCTTCAAAGAGAATAAAATACCTAGGAATACAACTTACAAGGGATGTGAAGGACCTCTTCAAGGAGAACTACAAACCACTGCTCAACGACATAAAAAAGGACACAAACAAATGGAAGAACATTCCATGCTCATGGATAGGAAGAAGCAATATCGTGAAAATGGCCATACTGCCCAAGGTAATTTATAGATTCAATGCTGTCCCCATCAAGCTACCAATGACTTTGTTCACAGAATTGGAAAAAACTACTTTAAAGTTCATATGGAACCAAAAAAGGGCCCACATTGCCAAGACAATCCTAAGCCAAAAGAACAAAGCTGGAGGCATCACACTACCTGACTTCAAACTATACTACAAGGCTGCAGTAACCAAAACAGCATGGTACTGGTACAAAAACAGAGATATAGACCAATGGAACAGAACAGAGCCCTCAGAAATAATACCACACATCTACAACCATCTGATCTTTGACAAAGCTGAGAAAAACAAGCAATGGGGAAAGGATTCCCTATTTAACAAACGGTTCTGGGAAAACTGGCTAGCCATATGTAGAAAGCTGAAACTGGATCCCTTTCTTACACCTTATACAAAAATTAATTCAAGATGGATTAAAGACTTAAATGTTAGACCTAAAACCATAAAAACCCTAGAAGAAAACCTGGGCAATACCATTTAGGACATAGGCATGTGCAAGGACTTCCAAAAGCAATGGCAACAAAAGCAAAAATAGACAAATGGGATCTAATTAAACTAAAGAGCTTCTGCACAGCAAAAGAAACTACCATCAGAGTGAACAGGCAACCTACAGAATGGGAAAAAATTTTTGCAATCTACTCATCTGACAATGGGCTAATATCCAGAATCTACAAAGAACTTAAACTTAAAAAGAATCTACAAATTTACAAGAATAAAACCACCCCATCACAAAGTGGGCAAAGGATATGAACAGACACTTCTCAAAAGAAGATATTTATGCAGCCAACAGACACATGAAAAAATATTCGTTGTCACTGGTCATCAGAGAAATGCAAATCAAAACCACAATGAGATACTATCTCACACCAGTTAGAATGGCGATCATTAAAAACTCAGGAAACAACAGGTGCTGGAGAGGATGTGGAGAAATAGGAACACTCTTACACTGTTGGTGGGACTGTAAACTAGTTCAACCATTATGGAAGACAGCGTAGCGATTCCTCAAGGATCTAGAACTAGAAATACCATCTGACCCAGCCATCCCATTACTGGGTATATACCCAAAGGATTATAAATCATGCTACTATAAAGACACATGCACACGTATGTTTAATGTGGCACTATTCACAATAGCAAAGACTTGGAACCAACGCAAATGTCCATCAATGATAGACTGGATTAAGAAAATGTGGCACATATACACCATGGAATACTATGCAGCCATAAGAAAGGATGAGTTCATGTTTTGTAGGGACATGGATGAAGCTAGAAACCATCATTCTCAGCAAACTATTGTAAGGACAAAAAACCAAACACCACATGTTCTCACTTATAGGTGGGAACTGAACAATGAGAACACTTGGACACAGGAAGGGGAACATCACACACTGGGGCCTGTTGTGGGGTGGGGGGAGTGGGGAGAGATATCATTAGGAGATATACCTAATGTAAATGACAAGTTAATGGGTGCAGCACACCAACACGGCACATATATAAATATGTATCAAACCTGCACGTGGTGCACATGTACCCTAGAACTTAAAGTATAAAAAAAAATACACATTTAAATAAAAAAAAAGAGCTGGTACCATTTCTACTAAAACTACTTCAAACCAATTAAAAGGAGGGACTTCTATCTAATTCATTCTATGAGGCCAGCAATATTTTGATACCAAAATCTGGCAGAGATACAACAAAAACAGAAAACTTGAGGCCAATATACCTGATGAACATTGATGCAAAAATCCTCAACAAAATACTGGCAAATTGAATCCAGCAGATCATCAAAAGCTTATCCACTATGATCAAGTCAGCTTCATCCTTGGGATGCAAGGCTGGTTAAACATATGCAAATCAATAAATGTAATTAAGCACATAAACAGAACTAAAGACAAAAACAACATGATTATCTCAATAGATGCAGAAAAGGCCTTCAATAAAATTCAACATCCCTTCATGTTAAAAACTCTCAATAAACTAGGTATTGAAGGACTATAACTCAAAATAATAAGAGCCACATAGGACAAACCCATAACCAATATCATATTGAAAAGGCAAAAGCTGGAAGCATTACCTGTGAAAACTAGGACAAGAAGAGGATTCCCTCTCTCACCACTCCTATTCAACACAGCATTGGAAGTTCTGGTCAGGGCAGTCAGGCAAGAGAAATAAAGTATTCAAACAGGAAGAGAGGAAGTCAAATTAACTTTGTTTGCAGATAACGTGATCCCATATCTAGAAAATCCCATCATCTCAACCCAAAAGCTTCTTAAGCTGATAGGCCACATCGGCAAAGTCTCAGGATAAAGTCAATAGTGCAAAAATCACTAGCATTCCTATACACCAACAACAGGCAAGCAAAGGGCCAAATCATGAATGAACTCTCATTCACAACTGCTACAAAGAGAATAAAATATCTAGAAATATCACTAACCAGACAGGTGTAGGACCTCTTCAGGGAGAACTACAAACCGCTGCTTAAGGAAATCAGAGAGAACACAAATGGAACAATATGCCACGCTCATGGATAGGAAGAATCAATATTGTGAAAATGGCCATACTGCCCAAAGTAATTTATAGATTCAGTTCTATTCCCATAAACCTATCATTGACATTCTTCACAGAATTAGAAGAAGCTATTTTAAAATTCCTATGAAACAAAAAGAGCCCAAATAGCCAAGAGAATCCTAAGGAAAAAGAACAAGGCTGCAGGCATCACTATCCAACTTCAAATTATACTACAAGGCTCAAGTAACCAAAACAGCATGGTACTGGTACAAAAACAGACACACAGACCAATGGAACAGAACAGAGAATTCAAAAATAAGACTGAACTTCTACAGCCATCTGATCTTTGACAAACCTGACAAAAACAAGCAACGGGGAAAGGATTCCCTATTTAATAAATGGTGCTGGGAGAACCGGCTAGCCATATGCAGAAAATTGAAACTGGACCCTTACATCTTACATAAAAATTAACTCAAGATGGATTAAAGACTTAAATGCAAAACCCAACACTATAAAAACCCTAGAAGAAAACCTAGGCAATATTATTCAGGACATAGGCACAGGCAAAGATTTCATGACAAAAATGCCAAAAGCAATTGCGACAAAAGCAAAAACTGACAGATGGGATCTAATTAAACTAAAGAGCTTCAGCACAGCAAAAGAAACATCATCAGAGTGAACAGACAGCCTACAGAATGGGAGACAGAATCTACAAGGAACTTAAACAAATTTACAAGAAAAAAACAAACAACCACACTAAAAAGCGGGCAAATGACATGAACAGACATTTCCCAAAAGGAGACATTCAAGGAGCCAACAACACATACTGGGGCCTGTCAGGTGGGTGGTGGGAGAGAGAGAATCAAGAAGAATAGCTGCTTTCTTTCTTTATGGCAAGATGGCCGAATAGGAACAGCTCCGGTCTGCAGCTCCCAGCGACATCAATGCATAAGGTGGGTGATTTCAACATTTCCAAGTGAGGTACACGGTTCATCTCATTGGGACTGGTTAGACAGTGGGTGCAACCCACAGAGGGAGAGCTGAAGCAGGGTAGGGTGTCGCCTCACCCAGCAAGAGCAAGAGGGTCAGGGAATTCCCTCCCCTAGCCAAGGGTAGCCATGAGGGACTGTGCCTTGAGGAACAGTGCACTCCAGCCCAGTTACTATGCTTTTCCCATGGTCCTCGCAATCCACACACCAGGAGATTCCCTCGGGTGCCTACACCACCAGGGACCTGGGTTTCAAGCACAAAACTAGGTGACCATTTGGGCAGACACTGAGCTAACTGCAGCATATTTTTTCACACTCCGGTGGTGCCTGGAACGCCAGCAAGCAGAACCATTCACTACCCTAGAAAGGGGGTGAAGCCAGAGAGCCAAGTGGTCTAGCTCAGTGGATCTCATTCCCATGGAGCCAAGCAAGCTAAGATCCACTGTCTTGAAATTCTTGCTGCCAGCACACCAGTCTGAAGTTGACCTGGGACACTCGAGCTTGGTGGGGGGAGGGGTGTCTGCCATTACTAAGGCTTGAGTAGGCAGTTTTCCCCTCACAGTGTAAACAAAGCCATCAGGAAGTTCAAACTGGGTGGAGCCCACTGTAGTTCAGCAAAGCCACTGTAGCCAGACTGCCTCACAGGATTCCTCCTCTGGGCAGGGCATCTCTAAAAGAAAGGCAGCAGCCCCATTCAGGGGCTTATACATCAAACTCCCATCTCCCTGGGACAGAGCACCTAGGGGAAGGGGCGGCAGCAGGCACTGCATCAGCAGACTTAAATGTTCCAGCCTGTCTGTTCTGAAGAGAGGAGCGAATCTCCCAGCACATTGCTCAAGCTCTGCTAAGGGATAGACTGCTTCCTCAGGTGGGTCCCTGACCCCCGTGCCTCCTGACTAGGAGACACCTCCCAACAGGGAGCGACAGACACCTCATACAGGAGAGCTCTGGCTGGCATCTGGTGGGTGCCCCTCTGGGACAAAGCTTCCAGAGGGCAGCAATCTTTGCTGTTCTGCAGCCTCCGCTGGTGATACCCAGGCAAACAGGGGCAGGGTCTGAAGTGGACCTCCTGCAAACTCCAGCAGACCTGCAGCAGAGGAGCCTGACCATTGGAAGGAAAACTAACAAACAGAAAGGAATAAGATCAACATTAACAAAAAGGAGGTCCATACAGAAACCCCATCTGAAGGTCACCAACATCAAAGACCAAAGGTAGATAAATCCACGAAGATGAGGAAAAACCAGCATAAAAAGGCTGAAAATTCCAAAAATCAGAATGCCTCTTCTCCTCCAAAGGATCACAACTCCTCGCCAAGGGAACAAAACTGGATGGAGAATGAGTTTGACAAATTGACAGAAGTAGGCTTTAGAAGGTGGGTAATAACAAACTCCTCCAAGCTAAAGGAGCATGTTCTAACCCAATGCAACGAAGCTAAGAACCTTGAAAAAAGGTTAGAAGAATTGCTAACCAGCATAACTGGTTTAAAGAAGAATATAAATGACCTCATGGAACTAAAAAACACAGCACAAGAACTTCGTGAAGCATACACAAGTATCAATAGCCGAACCGATCAAGTGGAAGCAAGGATATCAGAGATTGAAGATCAACTTAATGAAATAAAGCGAGAAGACAAGATAAGAGAATAAAGAATGAAAAGAAACGAAAAACGCCTCCAAGAAATATGGGACTATGTGAAAAGACCAAATCTACATTTGATTGGTGTACCTGAAAGTGACGGTGAGAATGGAACCAAGTTGTAAAACACTCTTCAGGATATTATCCAGGAGAACTTTTCCCCAACCTAGCAAGACAGGCCAACATTCAAATTCAGGAAATACAGAGACCACCACAAAGATACTCCTCAAGAAGAGTAACCCCAAGACACATAATTATCAGATTTACCAAGGTTGAAATGAAGGAAAAAATGTTAAGAGCAGCCAGAGAGAAAGGTCGGGTTACCCACAAAGGGAAGCCTATCAGACTAACAGCAGAAACCCTACAAGCCAGAAGAAAGTGGGGGGTAGAGGAGCAATATTCAACATTCTTAAAGAAAAGAATTTTCAACCCAGATTTTCACATCCAGCCAAACTAAGCTTCACAAGTGAAAGAGAAATAAAATCCTTTACAGACAAGCAACTACTGAGAGATTTTGTCACCACCAGGCCTGCCTTACAAGAGCTCCTGAAGGAAGCACTAAATATGGAAAGGAAAAACTGGTACCACCCACTGCAAGAACATACCAAATTGTAAAGACCATCAACACTATGAAGAAACTGCATCAAGTAACGGGCAAAATAACCAGCTAGCATCATAATGACAGGATCAAATTCACACATAACAATATTCACTTTAAATGTCAATGGGCTAAATGCCCCAATTAAAAGACACAGACTGGCAAACTGGACAAAGAGTCAAGACCCATCACTGTGCTGTATTTAGGAGACCCATCTCAGGTGCAAAGACACACATAGGCTCAAAACAAAGGGATGGAGGAATATTTACCAAGCAAATGGAAAGTGAAAAAAACAGAGGTTGCAGTCCTAGTCTCTGATAAAAAAGACTTTAAACCAAGAAAGATCAAAAAAGACAAAGAAGGGCATTACATAATGGTAAAGTGATCAATACAACAAGAAGAGCTAACTATCCTAAATATATATGCACCCAATACAGGAGCACCCAGATTCATAAAGCAAGTTCTTAGAGACCTACAAAGAGACTTAGACTCCCACACAATAATAGTGGGAGATTTTAACACCCCACTGCCAATATTAGACAGATCAACGAGACAGAAAATTAACAAGGATATTCAGGACTTCAACTCAGCTCTGGACCAAGAGGACCTAACAGACATCTACAGAACTCTTCATCCCAAATCAACAGAATATACATTCCTCTCAGCACTACATCGCACTTATTCTGAAATCGATCACATAATTGGAAGTAAAACACTCCTCAGCAAATGCAAAAGAACGGAAATCATAACAGTCTCTCAGACCACAGTGCAATCAAATTGGAACTCAGGATTGAGAAACTCATAATCAAAACTGCACAACTACATGGAAACTGAACAACCTGCTCCTGAATGACTACTAGGTAAGTAACAAAATGAAGGCAGAAATAAAGATGTTCTTTGAAACCAAAAAGAACGAAGACACAACATACCAGAATCTCTGGGACACATTTAAAGCAGTGTGTAGGGGGAAATTTATAGCACTAAATGCCCAATAGAGAAAGCAGGAAAGATCTAAAATTGACACCCTAACATCAAAATTAAAAGAACTGCAGAAGCAAGAGCAAACAAATTCAAAAGCTAGCAGAAGACAAGAAATAACTAAGATCAGAGCAGAACTGAAGGAAATAGAGACACAAAAAACCCTTCAAAAAATCAATAAATCCAGGAACTGGTTTTTTGAAAAGATTAACAAAATAGGTAGACCGCTAGCCAGACCAATAAAGAAGAAAAGAGAGAAGAATCCAATAGACCCAATAAAGTGTGATAAAGGGGATATCCCCACTGATCCCACAGAAATACAAACTACCATCAGAGAATACTATGAACACCTCTATGCAAATAAACTAGAAAATCTAGAAGAAATGGATAAATTTCTGGACACATACACCCTCCCAAGACTAAACCAGGAAGAAGTCGAATCCCTGAAGAGGCCAATAACAAGTTCTGAAATGGAGACAGTAATTAATAGCCTACCAACCAATAAAAGCCCAGGACCAGAAAGATTCACAGCCAAATTCTATCAGGGGTACAAAGAGGAGCTGGTACCATTCCTTCTACAAACTATTCCAAAAAACTGAAAAAGAGTGACTCCTCCCTAACTCATTTTATGAGGCCAGCATCATCCTGATACCAAAACCTGGCAGAGACACAACAAAAAGAGAAAATTTTAGGCCAATATACCTGATGAACATCGATGTGAAAATCCTCAGTAAAATACTGGCAAAACGAATCCAGCAGCACGTCAAAAAGCTTATCCACCATGATCAAGTCGGCTTCATCCCTGGGATGCAAGCCTGGTTCAACATACACAAATCAATAAACATAATCCATCACATAAACAGAACCAATGATAAAAACCACATGATTATCTCAATAGATGCAGAAAAGGTCTCCAATAAAATTCTACACCCCTTTAGGCTAAAAACACTCAATAAACTATACCGATTGAACGTATCTCAAAATAATAAGAGCTATTTATGAACCCACAGCCAATGTCATACTCAATGGGCAAAAGCTGGAAGCATTCCTTTTGAAAACTGGCACAAGACAAGGATGCCCTCTCTCACCATGCCTATTTAACATAGTGTTGGAAGTTCTGGCAAGGGCAATCAGGCAAGAGAAAGAAATAAAGGGTATTCAAATAGGAAGAGAGAAAATCAAATTGTCTCTGTTTGCAGATGACATGATTGTATATTTAGAAAACCCCATCGTGTCAGCCCAAAATCTCCTTAGGCTGATAAGCAACTTCAGCAAACTCTCAGGATACATAATCAATGTGCAAAAATCACAAGCATTCTTATACACCAATAATAGACAAATAGCCAAATCATGAGTGAACTCCCATTCAAAATTGCTACAAAGAGAATAAAATACCTAGGAATACAACTTACAAGGGATGTGAAGGACCTCTTCAAGTGGAACTACAAACAACTGCTCAAGGAAATCAGAGAGGACACAAACAAATGGAAAAATATTCCATGCTCATGGATAGGAAGAATCAGTATCATGAAAATGGCCATACTGCCCAAAGTAATTTATAGAGTCAGTGTCATCCCCATCAAGCTACCACTAACTTTCTTCACAGTTTAGAAAAAAACTACTTTAAATTTCCTATGGAACCACAAAAGAGCCCGTATAGCCAAAACAATCCTAAGCAAAAAGAAAGCTGGAGGCATCACACTACCTGACTTCAAACTATACTACAAGGCTACATTAACCAAAACACAAGGTACTAGTACAAAACAGATATACAGACCAATGGAACAGAACAGAGGCCTCAGAAATAACACTACATGTCTACAACCATCTGATCTTTGACAAACCTGACAAAAACAAGCAATGGGGAAATGATTGCCTACTTAATAAATGGTGTTGGTAAAACTGGCTAGCCATATGCAGAAAACTGAAACTGGACCCCTTCCTTACAGAATCTTATACAAATATTAACTCAAGATGGATTAAAGACTTAAACGTAAGACCTAAAACCATAAAAACCCTAGAAAAAAACCTAGGCAATACCATTCAGGGCAGAGGCATGGGCAAAGATTTCATGACTAAAACACCAAAAGCAATGGCAACAAAAGCCAAAAATGACAAATGGTGTCTAATTAAACTAAAAAGCTTCTGCAGAGCAAAAGAAACTATCATCAGAGTGAACAGGCAACCTACAGAATGGGAGAAAATGTTTGCAATCTCTCCATCTGACAATATCCTGAATCTACAAAGATTAAACAAATTTATAAGAAAAAAACAACTCCATCAAAAAGTGGGCAAAGGAGATGAACAGACACTTCTCAAAAGAAGACATTTATGTGGCCAATAAACATATGAGAAAAAGCTCATCATCACTGATCATTAGAGAAATACAAATCAAAACCACAATGAAATACCATCTCACGCCAGTTAGAATGGCAATCATTAGCTGGAGAGGATGTGGAGAAATAGGAACACTTTTACACTGTTCGTGGGAGTGTAAATTAGTTCAACCATTGTGGAAGACAGTGTGGCGATTCCTCAAGGATCTAGAACCAGAAATACAAATTGACCCAGCAATCCCATTACTGGGTATATACACAAAGGATTATAAATCATTCTACTATAGAGACACATGCATGCGTATGTTTATTGCAGCACTGTTCAGAATAGCAAAAACTTGGAACCAACCAACCCAAATGCCCTTCAATGATAGACTTGATAAAGAAAATGTGGCACATACACACCACGGAATACTATGCAGCCATAAAAAAGGGATGAGTTCATGTCCTTTGCAGCAACATAGATGAAGCTGGAAACCATAATTCTCAGCAAACTAACACAGGAACAGAAGACCAAACACCACATGTTCTCACTCATAAGTGGGAGTTAAACAGTGAGAACACATGGACATGAAGAGGGAAGCATCACACACTGGGGCCTGTTGGGGGTTGGGGAGCTAGGGGAGGGATAGCATTAGGAGAAATACCTAATGTTGATGACGGGTTGATGGGTGCAGCAAACCACCATGGCACATGTATACCTATGTAGCAAACCTGCACATTCTGCACATGTATCCCAGAACTTAAAGTATAATAAAAAAATTTTAAAAAGAAATCTTTGTATCCCCTTACCTCCCTAAGCATGCACATGGGTACACAGTTTATGACGGCCTATGTACTGCCATTGCAATGCTCATTCCTGAATAAATATAATTTCCTTAAAAAAAAAAGAAGAAGAAGAACAGCTAATGAATGCTGGGCTTAATACCTAGGTGATGGGTGATCTGTGCAGCAAACCACCATGGCACACGTTTACCTGTATAACAAAACTGCACGTGATGGACATGTACCCTGGAAGTTAAAATTAAAGTTGAAGGAAAAAAAGAGTTTTTCAAGTTCTAAAAAAAAAAAAAAAAAAAGCGGGGATAAAATAAGGTAACTAAGCATTTCATATGGATGCTGAAATAAAAACTAAGATTACTCTTTTATGTGATTCATTTCTGATGTTTTTTGTTTGAGGCTTTTATCCCAATTGATAAAGAAAAAAAGCCATTAAAATGTCCTTTAATTGAAGAAGAAGTGGTAGAAATTACACCTTTAACATTACTGGAGCAATACTTTGAAAGTAAATCACTTAGCAGTCAGAATAACAATTTGGAATTGTAACCAAATAGTCAAATACAGCTGGGAGACCTAGAATTCAACAGAACATTGTTTTAACGCTCAAGAACTGTGTGACCTAACAGATGGGAAGAATATATAAGAATAAAGCTTAATTAACCAACTATGTAAACAGAACCAATCACTATTCATAGTTCCCTTAAAATTAAGATTTGCTAAACTTAAAAGATTTGCATGCTGTAAAAAAAAATCAAAAACAAAAACCTGACAATTTTAATTCCCTCAACAAATGTTTTATTGTTGATGACACAATTTACATATTTTATATTGTGCATCTACTAACAAGTTTTTGTAGTTATAGTTATTCTTAATACTTGTCTTTTAACTCTTATACTAAAATTATTTATATACTATCTTTACAGTATTCAAATATTCTGTATATGTGTATATATTTGCCTTTGCCTGTGAATTGTATACTTTTGTATGCTTTCATGTTGCTGTATAGCATCATTTTGTTTCAACTTAAAGAACTCCTTTCAGCATTTTTTATAAGGCAAATCTACTGGTGATGAACTCCCTCAGCTTTTGTTTATCTGGGAAAGCCTTTCTCTCTACTTCATTTCTGAAGGACAGTTTTGCTGGGTACTGGTTGACAGGGTTTTTTTTGTTTCCTTCAGTATTTTAAATATATCATCCTGCTCCCTTCTGGCCTACAAGGTTTTGGCGGAGAAATCTGCTGATAGCAGATTTATGGAGGCTCTCTTATATAAGACAAGTCCTTTTCATCTTGCTGCTTTCAAAATTCTCTTTGACTTTTGACAATTTGACCACAATGCATCTCAGCATGGATTTCTTTGGATTCCTGTTTTTTTAATTATACTTTAAGTTCTAGGGTACATGTGCACAACGTGCCGGTTTGTTACATAGGTATACAAGTGCCATGTTGGTGTGCTGCACCCATTAACTCGTCATTTACATTAGGTATATCTCCTAATGCTATCCCTCCCCCCTCCCCCCTCCCCTCACCTAACGACAGGCCCCGGTGTGTGATGTTCCCCTTCCTGTGTCCCAATGTTCTCATTATTCAGTTCCCACCTATGAATGAGAACACACGGTGTTTGGTTTTTTGTCCTTGTGATACTGTGCTGAGAATGATGGCTTCCAGCTTCATCCATGTCCCTACAAAGGACATGAACATCTTAAAGGGGTTGTTTGGACTTCAAGGATCAATGTTCATTTCCCTCCCCAGATTTGGGAAGTTTTCAGCCATTGTTTCTTTAAATAAGTTTCCTGCTCCTTTCTTTTCCTTGCTCTCCCTCTTCCTCTCTCTCCTGCCCCACGTGTGATAATTCCATATTGAGCATATTGGTTTGCTTGATGGTGTCCCATTAGTTTCTTAGGATTTCTTCCCTCTTTTTCCTTTCTGATTCTCTGAATGGATCATTTCAAATGACCTATCTTCAAGTTGACTCGCTCCTCTATTTGATCAAGAATGCTGTTGAAGTTCTCCATACAATTTTCATATTACTTATTGTATTCTTCAGCTCCAGAATTTATGTTTGATTCTTTGCTTTCTTATGGTTTCTATCTCTTTGTTGGTATTCTCATTATTTTCACTTTTCATTTTCCTCATTTAATTTAGTTGCCTGTATTCTCTTGTAACTCATTTAGTTAAGTAATCTTTAAGACTATTATTTTGAGTTGTCTTGAGGGCAATTCATAGAACTCCTTTTCTTTAGGGTCTGTTATTGAATATTTATTTTGTTCCTTTGATTGTGTCATGTATTCCCGATCCTTCATCTTCCTTGCAGCTTTGCTTTGGGGCCTGCACATTTGAAGAAACAACCACTTCTCCCGGTCTTTATGGACTGACTTCAATAGACAAAGACCCTCACCAATCAGCCCAACTCAGATTCTGGGAACCTGTCAAACCTTTTCTATGAATGTACGCACTTCATTCCTCCATCCAGCCTGAGAGTCTCAGGGTTCTGTGCCTTCTCCCAATCTCTCAAAGAAATGATGGCCACAGTAAGCTGCCCATCTCTTTTCCCTGTGGCAGTACTCTAAAATTCCAGGATGTATGCTTCATTCTTCCTTTCCCTTCTGAGGGAGAAGACTCACAGATATGCATCTTCTCCCAACCCTCCAGAGCTCTACTGGCCACAGTTGCCTGCCCTCCACTTTTTTCTAGAGTGATGCATTGAAATGATGGGATATTGCTCCCACTCCTCACCCTCCCTCCTGCAGAAATCTTAGGGTTGTGCACTTTTCCCGATCTTGCAGAGGCAAGCTAGCTGCAGTGAGCCTCTCACTCCTTTTCTTTGTTCTTAGCTTCCCCTGCATGTTTAAATTATGCTGGCTACTCCAGCACTCTGGGTGAGGTGGGATAGAAAGAGGTCATTCAAGCAGCACCCACAAATGCTAGAGATGTTTGATGTACAGTCCTCTTTTTCTTTGCCCCACTGGAAGAGTCACAATCTGGGACAAATTCTCTCTTAACCAGCTGGGAGAAGGGACTGACAAAGGTAAGAGTGAAATTGCTCTTCTTAGCCATTTCAACGTGTCTACTCTGTTTTGTGCTCCTCTGGAGTACTGCGACTTCTTCACTGGATACTGGACCTCTTATAAAGGTATTTTTCTTGGTATACCATTGTTAAATCTGTGTTTCTGTAGGGGGATGAGAGCTGAAACTTCTTATTCTGCCAAATTGCTGATGTCATGAAAGACTACTATTTTCTGGTTGGGCTCTATTCCACTACAACACAGTAAATGAAAAATTATCTGGAGAAAAAGGCCAAAGTAAACATGAAGCTCTCCTTGTGTGCATCCCTTCCTTCAAAGATCATAGCCTCTCAAGATCTTGCCCAACCAATTGTTCTCCAGTGCCTGCAGACAATTGTTTTTTAATATTTTCTCCAGATTTTAGAATTCTTATTGTGGACCATCAACTTATTGGACATTTGGATATGGAGGTCAATTCCAAATAGCTTTCTAAGATTTATATCCCACTTCCAGCAAATATGGCTGCTCTGTGTGTAATTTTATGTACAGCCACATCACTTCTACTTTCCTGAGGCAAACTGAATCCAGGTAGGGATTCTTCTGCTAGCAAAGTGCTCCCCAATGTCCTTTATAACTATTATAAATGGGACATATGACTCATAAACTTAGGATAAGTTCCTCATCATCAGAAAGTGTATGACTTTGCTAGTATTTTCTAAGGCACTCTATTTCTGCATCCCTAGATTTCATCTATATCTCCTTTTCTCACCTTGGTCCCTCACAGCTTCTGCCCACTTTCAGCTCTGATCAGCCTCATTACTGATAAATAAAGGATATTACTTCTGAATTTATAATAAGCCATTCACATTCAGAAAATGTTTTTAGCACTTTCCAAAATATATACTTTGCTAATCCCAAGTCGAAATACTCTCTTTTCCTTTTCCCACACTTCTATCCAGGCTTGATACTTTTGATAGTCCTTACTTATAAACTTGAGATGGCAGATTATTTGTTGCAAAGGTTCATAAACATGAGATGTATAAGTTGTTTTTCTTTTTTATGTCCTTATGGCTTTACATGTTTTGTAAAAGGAGAAGGGGAAGAATAAGAAGTATGCTAGTTGTGGATTCATATCAGAATCTTCTAAGTTATATTCTTACTATTTCCCCAACACAAATTTTATATTGGAAGGCATACAAGACAATTAATAATAACTATCATCTCCAAATCTATTCTTCTAAGGACTAATCATGAGGCTGCAATCCACAAGCTGTGTTTTGCAGTCTCCTTTGCCAGCTGGAAGCATTAGAAAGATACTGGGGAAAAGAAGGTGAAGAGGTGTGTTTCCTGCTGTTCCTGTAAACAATTTCTTTCACAGTGAAAATAGGTTCCAGCCTCCAGTTGCTTTTGGCATTCCCCAAAACAGCCTCATTACCACCTTCTTTATACATACCAACAGTAGCTATTTGATATTCCCTCCTCAAATTTCTGAGCTCCAATATCTCAAGATCTAATTTCTGAGTTCCTGGGTTTCGGTATCTCCACCATTATTAACGTGTAGGCCACTTTATGCAGTTAAAATCTATGGGTTACATCAGTATTTCCTCTTTTGTTCTTTCACTCTTCAAACGTGTGTAAATAATTTCCCACATTAAATTCTACCTCATAAAGTGGCTCATGTTTCTATTTTCCTGAATGAACCATAACTGACCAGAAGGTTACTCTGATGCTTACTCACCCTGCAGTCAAGAATAGTATTTCTACTTTAGGAAGCTACCTTGGTTACAAATTATACAGTACCTAAATTTTATGTTTTAAAATAATAAATTTTGAAAAATAAAATCGAAACTATAATACTTATTATTAAACATGACAAAGAATTTTTTAAAAACTCATTCATATTCCCAACATGCAAAAACAAGTGTTAACATTTTGATATATTTATTTCTTGTCTCTTTTTAGGCAGATTGCTTTGTTTTTAAAATTTGTGATCAAACCATTTTGTATATTGTCTTCTTATGGTTAAGGTATACCTTTAAACTTTTTCAATTTCAACTTGCAAATAAAAAATTTTAAAAGTCTCTTTCACTTTGTAAAAACAAAATGACATATTTATCTTTAACTCCTACTCTATGAATGACTATGCTCAAAATAGTACATAATTTTTTAAAACATACTGCATGCCTAACTGATTTTATAAAATTCACAGCTAACATCATTTCTTCCGTATACAAGAAAACAGATTAAAGTCTGTATTTTAAGAAAACATTATTCCCTCAAAATTACATGATAAAGCATGTACATTTTTGCCAGGAAAACATATCAATTGTATATTTTATACTATGAACCAAAAGGAAAAACAATCTTCCTCTGTAGCCTATAAAAATTGTACATAAATTTAGTAAGGCCAATTACTCACCCCCTATTACTGACAATTGCCTTTTTCAAGTGAATGTAATTTGCAGGAAAGATCCCCTGTAAAAGAGAAAATATTTCCTGTTAGAAAAAATAAAATTGTGATTAACATTTCATATATACAAAAATAGCAATCAGATTTCAGCACAGAAACATAGTAGATCTCCTGCTACAGCAACCACTTTGCATATTAAGTATGCAGAGCTGTACAAAGTATATTAGGTAGGAATTTCACGGCCATATGCAATCAAAATCTATCCTCAGGAGACAACTGTGATCTTTAGCACTGCAAAAATAAAACTTTAAATTTTAATTTTAAAAGAGTTGTAGATTAGAGATGGTCCATCAATTCACTCTCCAGAAACAGTATTGTGTACAGAACTTGTCATGTATCTCCAAAACTAATATCATCATCTAACCAACAACTTACAGATTATCTAGCTCTGAGCTAGAAAAACAATTCTCAGACTCTAGCTAACATTAATATTCACAGGAGTGAATCAATTCAAGAACTTCTAAAATATGTCTTCTTTTACTCTTTCCAAAACTGTTTCTACTTTGTTGTTTACCATAATTTGATTTCAATTCCTAAAGAATAAGTAGCGTATTTAAAAAAAAAAAAAAACCACATCAGTTTTCCAATCAATGTTTCGCCCCCATCTCCTGATGTATAAAATGCTCTTTAAATAAAACATGAATGGCTTACAGGTTTGGCGGCTCATGCTTGTAATCCCAGTGCTTTAGGAGCCTAAAGTGGGAGAACTGTTAGAGGCCAGGACTCCATGACTAGTCTGGGCAACATAGCAAGATCCTGTCTCTACAAACAATTAGAAAGTTAGCCAGGTGTGGTGGTGCACACCTGTAGTCCTAGCTACTTGGGAGGATGACTTGAGCCCAGAAGTTTGGGGCTACAGTGAGCTATGATAGCACCACTATACTCCAGCCTATATGACAGAGCAAGAACCTGTCTTAAACACACACACACACACACACACACACACACACACACACACACACACCCATGGCTTAAATATATTTTATACTCTTTGGCCCACACTACCACCAATAATCACCCAAATGAAGGCTATAAGCAATTAGACTACAGTAATGAGTTTTGTATTTTGGCTCATAATAAAAGACAGCATATAGTAACGTAAAATCCTAATATGGGAGAATATAGAGACTTAAAAAAAGGATTTAAGTCTTTAATCTTTAATCCATCTTGAATTAATTTTTGTATAAGGTGTAAGAAAGGGATCCAGTTTCAGCTTTCTACATATGGCTAGCCAGTTTTCCCAGCACCATTTATTAAATAGGGCATCCTTTCCCCATTGCTTGTTTTTCTCAGGTTTGTCAAAGATCAGATAGTTGTAGATATGCGGAGTTATTTCTGAGGGCTCTGTTCTGTTCCATTGATCTATATCTCTGTTTTGGTACCAGTACCATGCTGTTTTGGTTACTGTAGCCTTGTAGTATAGTTTGAAGTCAGGTAGCATGATGCCTCCAGCTTTGTTCTTTCGGCTTAGGATTGACTTGGCGATGCGGGCTCTTCTTTGGTTCCATATGAACTTTAAAGTAGTTTTTTCCAATTCTGTGAAGAAAGTCATTGGTAGCTTGATGAGGATGGCATTGAATCTATAAATTACCTTGGGCAGTATGGCCATTTTCACGATATGCATTCTTCCTACCCATGAGCATGGAATGTTTTTCCATTTATTTGTATCCTCTCTTATTTCCTTGAGCAGTGGTTTGTAGTTCTCCTTGAAGAGGTCCTTCACATCCCTTGTAAGTTGGATTCCTAGGTATTTTATTCTCTTTGACGCAATTGTGAATGGGAGTTTACTCATGATTTGGCTCTCTGTTTGTCTGTTATTGGTGTATAAGAATGCTTGTGATTTTTGTACATTGATTTTGTATCCTGAGACTTTGCTGAAGTTGCTTATCAGCTTAAGGAGATTTTGGGCTGACACAATGGGGTTTTCTAGATATACAATCATGTCATCTGCAAACAGGGACAATTTGACTTCCTCTTTTCCTAATTGAATATCCTTTATTTCTTTCTCCTGCCGAATTGCCCTGGCCAGAACTTCCAACACTATGTTGAACAGGAGTGGTGAGAGAGGGCATCCCTGTCTTGTGCCAGTGTTCAAAGTGAATACTTCCAGTTTTTGCCCATTCAGTATGACATTGGCTGTGGGTTCATAAATAGCTCTTATTATTTTGAGATACGTTCAATCGGTATAGTTTATTGAGTGTTTTTAGCCTAAAGGGGTGTAGAATTTTATTGGAGACCTTTTCTGCATCTATTGAGATAATCATGTGGTTTTTATCATTGGTTCTGTTTATGTGATGGATTATGTTTATTGATTTGTGTATGTTGAACCAGGCTTGCATCCCAGGGATGAAGCCGACTTGATCATGGTGGATAAGCTTTTTGACGTGCTGCTGGATTCGTTTTGCCAGTATTTTACTGAGGATTTTCACATCGATGTTCATCAGGTATATTGGCCTAAAATTTTCTCTTTTTGTTGTGTCTCTGCCAGGTTTTGGTATCAGGATGATGCTGGCCTCATAAAATGAGTTAGGGAGGAGTCACTCTTTTTCAGTTTTTTGGAATAGTTTGTAGAAGGAATGGTACCAGCTCCTCTTTGTACCCCTGATAGAATTTGGCTGTGAATCTTTCTGGTCCTGGGCTTTTATTGGTTGGTAGGCTATTAATTACTGTCTCCATTTCAGAACTTGTTATTGGCCTCTTCAGGGATTCGACTTCTTCCTGGTTTAGTCTTGGGAGGGTGTATGTGTCCAGAAATTTATCCATTTCTTCTAGATTTTCTAGTTTATTTGCATAGAGGTGTTTGTAGTATTCTCTGATGGTAGTTTGTATTTCTGTGGGATCGGTGGTGATATCCCCTTTATCATTTTTTATTGCGTCTATTTGATTCTTCTCTCTTTTCTTCTTTATTAGTCTTGCTAGCAGTCTATCAATTTTGTTGATCTTTTCAAAAAACCAGCTCCTGGATTCATTAATTTTTTGAAGGGTTTTTTGTGTCTCTATTTCCTTCAGTTCTGCTCTGATTTGGGTTATTTCTTGCCTTCTGCTAGCTTTTGAATGTGTTTGCTCTTGCTTTTCTAGTTCTTTTAATTGTGATGTTAGGGTGTCAATTTTGGATCTTTCCTGCTTTCTCTTGTGGGCATTTAGTGCACAAATTTCCCACTACACATTGCTTTTAATGTATCCCAGAGATTCTGGTATGTTGTGTCTTTGTTCTCTCTGGTTTCAAAGAACATCTTTATTTCTGCCTTCATTTCATTATGTACCCAGTAGTCATCATAAAAAATGATGAGTTCATGTCCTTTGTAGGGACATGGATGAAATTGGAAATCATCATTCTCAGTAAACTATCGCAAGGACAAAAAATCAAACACCACATACATGTTCTCACTCATAGATGGGAATTGAACAATGAGAACACATGGACACAGGAAGGGGAACATCACACTCTGGGGACTGTGGTGGGGTGGGGGGAGGGGGGAGGGATAGCATTGGGAGATATACCTAATGCTAGATGACCAGTTAGTGGGTGCAGCGCACCAGCATGGCACATGTATACATATGTAACTAACCTGCACATTGTGCACATGTACCCTAAAACTTAAAGTATAATAATAATAAAATTTTTTAAAAAAAGGATTTAAAAAGCAACTGCACGTAACCATAGCTAAATGATGACTATCGTTTATCTGTTTTTAAAAAAACAATTGATAGTAAAAATCTTTAAAATATACATGCTTGGCATACACTTCTGGGAAGATGAAATAAACATACTTTTCAGTATTTCTCCAAATAACACCTAGTGCATACCTAAAAACTCTGGAATATATATATATATATATATATCTCCAAAATAAAAAATATTCTGAAAGGCGGAAAGAAGAAGGCAGACCAACTAGGGAATGTGGGAGACACAAAATAACATAGTGGTGAATTCCCTAGTTTATCTTTTTGCCATATGTATCAGGCTATTTTAAAGTGAAGAAGCTGGAAACCTGGAAATACCAACAGGAACAGACAGAAAGAAACTCCAACAAAAACTTGCTCTCTCTAGCCAAAGAACCAGGAAAAGGTCATCCTATTAAGACAGAAAACTTTTAAACAATAACCACTACCCTGCTGTCAAACAGCAACCCCCTCTGCCCCCCACACCAAAAAACTGTGACCTAATCCCCACCCACACGAGTAAGGTCAATTGGAGATACTAGACTTTCACCACCATCAGGCAGTAACGAAGCACTCAAACCCACATTGGGGTAACGTAAGAGGTGGCTGACTGTTTAGGGACCCCAAAACCTTCTACTCCAGTAGGTAATAACAAGCTCCCACCACACAGTGGCAGTGGAGATTGCCTGGATTATCTGGACTTCCACCCCTAACCAGCATTAATAGGACTCCCTCCGTCAGCCTTCTCTGGTGGTATCAGAACTGCCCAATGGGACAGTTGGACTGAAAAAGTACATGAAGAAATAATGGCATACTAGTGAGGATGTGACTCAACCTCATTCATTGCTGGTACGAATGCAAAATGGTATAGTCACTTTAAAAGACACTGGCAGTTTCATACAAAACTAAACATAGCCTTACCATATGATCCAGCAATTACACACCTAGGTATTTACCCAAATGAGTTGAAAAGATGATGCCCATACAAAAAAAAAAAAAAAAACTGCATACAAAAGCTTATACCATTTTTCTTCATAAATGCCAAGACTTGGAAGAAACTACGATGTCCTTCAACAGGTGAATGGATAAGCAAACTGTAGCACATCCATACAATGAAATATGATTCAGCAATAAAAAGAAATGAGCTACAAAGCCACAAAAACATGGGGAAAACATTAACTGCATATTGCTAAGTGAAAGAAATCAATCTGAAAGGCCACATACTGTATGACTCCACCTATATGATATTCTAGAAAAAGCAAAACCATAGAGACAGTAAAAAACACAGTTGTTGCCAAGGTTCCTAGGGGAAGTGGGAAAGGATGAACAGGTGGCACACAAGGACATTGTTAGGACAGTGAAACTATTCTGTATGGTACCGTAATGATAGCTACATGACATTGTGCATTTGGTAAAACCCTTAGGATGGTACAACACAAAGAGTAAACCCTAATGTCAATAACAAATAATATTAATAGTGTATCAATACTGGTTCATCCATTATAACAAATGTTCCACACTAATGCAGGATATTAATAATAGGAAAACTGTGGGGGGCGGGGAGGAAAACCCTGTACTTTCTGCACAATGTTTTTGGAAACCTAAAACTCTTTAAAAAAAAAAGTCTAATTTGAAATGTAAAATTTTAAAAATGACACAAAACTTTCCAAATTTGGAAAAAGACATAAACGTACACATTCAAGAAGCTGAATGAATCCCAAGCAGGAAGAAAACCAAGGAAATACACAAGTTACAACATAGTCACTTTGGAATACCATGGGCAAAGAAAAAAATTGACAAGAGAGAAACAACACCTTACCTATAGTGAAAAAAACCTATCTGAATTATCAGCAGATTTTTCATCAAAACCATAAAAGACAGCAGCACCAGTTACAATAGCCAAAAGCTGTTTACAACCCAGATGTCTATCAACTGATAAATAAATGAGCTGTTCATATTATTGAATGGTATATATCCAGCCAGGCATGGTGGCTCATGCCTGTAATCTCAGCACTTTGAGAGGCCAAGGCGGGCAAATCACCTGAGGTCAGGAGTTCAAGACCAGCTTTGCCAACATGGCGAAATCCTGTCTCTACTAAAACTACAAAAATTAGCTGGCCGTGGTGGTGGATGCCTGTAATCCTAGCTAATCAGGAGGCTGAGACAGGAGAATCGCTTGAACCCAGGAGGCAGAGTTTGCAGTGAGGCGAGATGGCGCCACTGCACTCCAGCCTGAAAGAGCGAGACTCCATATCAAAAATTAAAAAAAAAAAAAAAGAATGGTATATACTTGCAGTGAAATCTTATTCAGCCATAAAAAGGAACGTACATGAATGAACTCAGAAAACATTATGCTGAATGAAAGAAGGCAGATGCAAAAGACACCTATTATATAATTTCATTTACATGAAATATTCAGAATAGGCAAATACACAGAGACAGAAAGAAGTCATATGGTTGTCAGCAGCAGGAGGATGAAAAAGTATGGCCACTTAATGGGCTTGGAAGTTTCTGTTTGTGGAAATGAAAACATTTTGAAACATAATAATGGTGATGTTTGTAAAACATTATGCATGTACTAAATGTCACTCATGGTAAACGTTATGTGTATTTTACATTCTAGATTTTTGAAAAATAAGTATAAAATATTTAAAATACAAATTTCTATAATTTTCAATGAAAATATAGAAGACAGAAGGAAGTGGCACATTTGTCAAATGCTGAAAGAAAAGCACTGTCAATCTAGAATATTATATCTACCAAAAATACATTTCAGGAATGGAAGACAAATCAAAACATTTTCAGATGAAGGAAAACAAAAAGAATTTGTCATCAACAGAAATACCCTAAAAAAAAGTAGTGAATGAAAATTCTCTAAGCAGAAAGAAAATGATAAAACAAAAAACCATGGAACTACACTAAGAAAAAACAAAAAATGTAAGCAAACCCATGGGTAAATATAATAGACATTCATTTTTCTCTTGAATTTTCTTAATTAGGTTTGATGGTTGAAGCAAACATTTTTTTTTATAAAGAAAAAACTTCTCCTTGTGCGTGATTATTTGCCATTCACAGATATCTAGCAAAATGGCCTTTTTTTTTTAATACTTCAAGTTCTAGGGTACATGTGCACAACGTGCAGGTTTGTTACATATGTATACATGTGCCATGTTGGTGTGCTGCACCTGTTAACTCATCATTTGTATTAGGTATATCTCCCAATGCTATCCCTCCCCCATTCCCCCACCCCACGACAGGCCCTGGTGTGTGATGTTCCCCACCCTGTGTCCAAGTGTTCTCATGGTTCAATTCCCACCTATGAGTGAGAACATGCAGTGTTTGGTTTTCTGTCCTTGCAATAGTTTGCTCAGAGTGATGGTTTCCAGCTTCATCCATCTCCCTCCAAAGGACATGAACTCATCCTTTTTCATGGCTGCATAGTATTCCATGGTGTATATGTGCCACATTTTCTTAATCCAGTCTATCATTGATGGACATTTGGGTTGGTTACAAGTTTTTGCTATTGTGAATAGTGCTGCAATAAACATATGTGTGCATGTGTCTTTATAGCAGCATGATTTATAATCCTTTGGGTATATGTCCAGTAATGGGATGGCTGGGTCAAATGTTACTTCTAGTTCTAGACCCCTGAGGAATCTCCACACTGTCTTCCACAATGGTTGAACTAGTTTACAGTCCCACCAACAGTGTAAAAGTGCTCCTATTTCTCCACAACTTCTCCAATACCTGTTGTTTCCTGACTTTTTAATGATCGCCATTCTAACTGGTGTGTGATGGGATCTCATTGTGGTTTTGATTTGCATTTCTCTGATGGCCAGTGATGATGAGCATTTTTTCACGTGTCTGTTGGCTGCATAAATGTCTTCTTTTGAGAAGTGTCTGTTCATAGCCTTTGCCCACTTTTTGATGGGGTTGTTTGATTTTTTCTTGTAAATTTGTTTAAGTTCTTTGTAGATTCTGGATATTAGCCCTTTGTCAGATGGGTAGATTGTAAAACTGTTCTCCCATTCTGTAAGTTGCTTGTTCACTCTGATGGTAGTTTCTTTTGCTGTGCAGAAGCTCTTTAGTTTAATTAGATCCCATTTGTCTATTTTGGCTTTTGTTGCCACTGATTTTGTTGTTTTAATCATGAAGTCCTTGCCCATGCCTATATCCTGAATGGTATTGCCTAGGTTTTCTTCTAGGGTTCTTATGGTTTTAGGTCTAAGGTTTAAGTCTTCAATCCATCTTGAATTAATTCTTGTAAAAGGTGTAAGGAAGGGATCCAGTTTCAGCTTTCTATGTATGGCTAGCCAGTTTTCCGAGCACCATTTATTAAATAGGGAATTCTTTCCCCATTGCTTGTCTTTGTCAGGTTTGTCAAAGAGCAGATGGTTGTAGACGTGTGGTATTATTTCCGAGGGCTCTATTCTATTCCATTGGTCTATATCTCTGTTTTGGTCCCAGTACCATGCTGTGTTGGTTACTGTAGACTTGTAGTATAGTCTGAAATAAGGTAGCATGATGCCTCCAGCTTTGTTCTTTTGGCTGAGGATTGTCTGGGCAATGCGGGCTCCTTTTTGGTTCCATATAAACTTTAAAGTAGTTTTTTCCAATTCTGTGAAGAAAGGCATTGGTCACATGATGGGGACAGCATTGAATCTATAAATTACCTTGGGCAGTATGGCCATTTTCACGATATTGATTCTTCCTACCCATGAGCATGGAATGTTCTTCCATTTGTTTGTGTCCTCTTTTATTTCGTTGAGCAGTGGTTTGTAGTTATCCTTGAAGAGGTCCTTCACATCCCTTGTAAGTTGGATTCCTAGGTATTTTACTCTCTTTGAAGCAATTGTGAATGGGAGTTCACTCATGATTTGGCTCTCTGTCTGTTACTGGTGTACAGGAATGCTTGTGATTTTTGCACATTGATTTTGTATCCTGAGACTTTGCTGAAGTTGCTTATCAGCTTAAGGAGATTTTGGGCTGAGATTTCTAAATATACAATCATGTCATCTGCAAACAGGGACAATTTGACTTCCTCTTTTCCTAATTGAACACCCTTTATTTCTTTCTCTTGCCTGATTGCCCTGGCCAGAACTTCCAACACTATGCTGAATAGGAGTGGTGAGAGAGGGCATCCCTGTCTTGTGCCAGTTTTCAAAGGGAATGCTTCCAGTTTTTGCCCATTCAGTATGACATTGGCTGTGGGTTTGTCATAAATAGCTCTTATTATTTTGAGATACATCCCATCAATACCTAGTTTATTGAGAGTTTTTATTATGAAGGGCTGTTGAATTTTGTCGAAGGCCTTTTCTGCATCTATTGAGATAATCATGTGGATTTTGTCTTTGGTTCTGTTTATGTGATGGATTACATTTATTGATTTGCATATGTTGAACCAGCCTTGCATCCCAGGGATGAAGCCCACTTGATCATGGTGGATAAGCTTTTTGATTCGCTGCTGGATTCAGTTTGCCAGTATTTTATTGAGGATTTTTGCATCAATGTTCATCAAGGATATTGGTCTAAAATTCTCTTTTTTGGTTGTGTCTCTGCCCGGCTTTGGTATCAGGATGATGCTGGCCTCATAAAATGAATTAGGGAGGATTCCCACTTTTTCCGTTGATTGGAATAGTTTCAGAAAGAATGGTACCAGCTCCTCTTTGTACTTCTGGTCGAATTCAGCTGTGAATCTGTCTGGTCCTGGACTTTTTTTGGTTGGTAGGCTATTAATTATTGCCTCAATTTCAGAACCTGTTATTGGTCTATTCGGGGATTCAACTTCTTCCTGGTTTAGTCCTGGGAGGGTGTATATATCCAGGAATTTATCCATTTCTTCTAGATTTTCTAGCTCATTTGCGTAGAGGTGTTTACAGTGTTTTCTGATGGTAGTTTGTATTTCTGTGGGATCGGCGGTGATATCCCCTTTATCATTTTGTATTGCATCTATTTGATTCTTCTCTCTTTTCTTCTTTATCAGACTTGCTAGTGGTCTATCAATTTCGTTCATCTTTTCAAAAAACCAGCTCCTGGCTTCATTGATTTTTTGAAGGGTTTTTTGTGTCTCTATCTCCTTCAGTTCTGCTCTTAGTTATTTCTTGCCTTCTGCTAGCTTTTGAATGTGTTTGCTCTTGCTTCTCTAGTTCTTTCAATTGTGATGTTAGGGTGCCACTTTTAGAACTTTCCTGCTTTCTCTTGTGGGCATTTAGTGCTATAAATTTCCCTCTACACACTGCTTTAAATGTGTTCCAGAGATTCTGGTATGTTGTGTCTTTGTTCTCATTGGTTTCAAAGAACATCTTTATTTCTGCCTTCACTTTGTTATGTACCCAGCAGTCATTCAGGAGCAGGTTGTTCAGTTTCCATGTAGTTGAGTGGTTTTGAGTGAGTTTCTTAATCCTGAGTTCTAGTTTGATTGCACTGTGGTCTGAGAGACAGTTTGTTATAATTTCTATTCTTTTACATTTGCTGAGGAGTGCTTTACTTCCAACTATGTTGTTGATTTTGGAATAAGTGTGATGTAGTGCTGAGAAAAATGTATATTCTGTTGATTTGGTGTGGAGAGTTCTCTAGATGTCTATTAGGTCCACTTGGTGCAGAGCTGAGTTCAATTCTTGGATATCCTTGTTAACTTTCTGTCTCGTTGATCTGTCTAATGTTGACAGTGGGGTGTTAAAAGTCTCCCATTATTATTGTTTGGGAGTCTAAGTCTCTTTGTAGGTCTCTAAGGACTTGCTTTATGAATCTGGGTGCTCCTGTACTGGGTGAATATATATTTAGGCTGGTCAGCTCTTCTTGTTGAATTGATCCCTTTACCATTATGTAATGCCCTTCTTTGTCTCTTTTGATCTTTGTTGGTTTAAAGTCTGTTTTATCAGAGACTAGGATTGCAACCCCTTCCTTTTTTTTGTTTTCCATTTGCTTGGTAAATCTTCCTCCATCCCTTTATTTTGAGCCTATGTGTGTCTCTGCACCTGAGATGGGTCTCCTGAATATAGCACACTGATGGGTCTTGACTCTTTATGCAATTTGCCAGTCTGTGTCTTTCAATTGGAGCAGTTAGCCCATTTACATTTAAAGTGAATATTGTTAGGTGTGAATTTGATCCTGTCATTATGATGTTAGCTGGTTATTTTGCTCGTTAATTGATGCAGTTTCTTCCTAGCATCGATGGTCTTTACAATTTGGCATGTTTTTGCAGTGGCTAGTACCATTTGTTCCTTTCCATGTTTAGTGCTTCCTTCAGGAGCTCTTGTAAGGCAGGCCTGGTGGTGACAAAATCTCTCAGCATTTGCTTGTCTGTAAAGGATTTTATTTCTCCTTCACTTATGAAGCTTAGTTTGGCTGGATATGAAATTCTGGGTTGAAAATTCTTTTCTTTAAGAATGTTGAATATTGGCCCCCACTCTCTTCTGGCTTGTAGAGTTTCTGCCGAGAGATCTGCTGTTAGTCTGATGGGCTTCCCTTTGTGGGTAACCCGACTTTTCTCTCTGGCTGCCCTTAATATTTTTTCCTTCATTTCAACTTTGATGAATCTGACAATTATGTGTCATGGAGTTGCTCTTCTCGAGGAGTATATTTGTGGTGTTCTCTGTATTTCCTGAATTTGAATGTTGGCCTGCCTTGCTAGCTTGGGGATATTCTCCTGGTTAATATCCTGCAGAGTGTTTTCCAACTTGGTTTCATTCTCCCTGTCACTTTCAGGTACACCAATCAGACACAGATTTGGTCTTTTCACATAGTGCCATATTTCTTGGAGGCTTTGTTCGTTTCTCTTTACTTTTTTCTCTAAACTTCTCTTCTTGCTTCATTTCATTAATTTGATCTTCAATCACTGATACCCTTTCTTCCACTTGATCAAATCAGCTACTGAAGCTTGTGCATGCGTCACATCGTTCTCGTGCCATGGTTTTCAGCTCCATCAGGTCATTTAAGGTCTTCTCTACACTGTTTATTCTAGTTAGCCACCCATCTAATCTTTTTTCAAGGTTTTTAGCTTCTTTGCAATGGGTTCAAATATCCTCCTTTAGCTCGGAGAAGTTTGTTATTACCAATCGTCCGAAGCCTTCTTCTCTCAACTCATCAAAGTCATTCTCCTTCCAGCTTTGTTTCATTGCTGGCGAGGAGCTGCATTCCTCTGGAGGAGAAGAGACGCTCTGATTTTTAGAATTTTCAGCTTTTCTGCTCTGGTTTCTCCCCATCTTGGTGGTTTTATCTACCTTTGATCTTTGATGATGGTGACGTACAGATGGGGTTTTGGTGTGGATGTCCTTTCTGTTTGTTAGTTTTCCTTCTAACAGTCAGGACCTTCAGCTGCAGGTCTGTTGGAGTTTGCTGGAGGTCCACTCCAGACACTGTTTGCCTGGGTATCACCAGCGGAGGCTGCAGAACAGCAAATATTGCAGAACGGCAAATGTTGCTGCCTGATCCTTCCTCTGGAAGCTTCGTCTCAGAGGGGCACCTGGCTGTATTTGGTGTCAGTCAGCCTCTATTGGGAGATGTCTCCCAGTTAGGTTACTCCCAGTTAGCCAGGCGTGGTGGTGCAGGCCTGTAATCCCAGCTACTCAGGAGGCTGAGGCAGGAGAATTGCTTGAACCCAGGAGGCGGAGGTTGCAGTGAGCTGAGATCACGCCACTGCACTCCAGCCTGGTGACACAGCGAGACTCCAACATAAAAAAGAAAAAGAAAAGAAAAGAAAAGAAAAGAAAAGAAAAAGTGGCTGCCATTGAAGCCCTAGATAATGGTGCACTACAGAAAGCCACTGTCTTGTTCAGAGATGCCATCAAGCTGAATCCTCGCTTGACCATTCTGTATGTCAACACAGTCAGTATCTTCATCACATTACAGAAGCCAAACACTGCCATTCGAGACTGACAGAACAAATGAAATAAATTCTGATTTGGCTCAGCCTTATAAGTGGTGAGGGAAAGCACACAGATTTCTGGGCCATTGGAAAGAAGCAGCTATAATCTTGACCCTGACCATAACTGGATTATGATGAAGATACTAGTACAATGCTGAAAGAAGTTCAACTGAGGGCCAAGAAAATTGCACAACATTAGAAAAAGGTTGAATAGAAATATCAAGAGTAAGAAATCAAAGAAAGAATAAAAAGGGTTAAGAAGGCTCCGTAAGATCATGAGAGAGCTCAGAGGGAGAAAGAAGCCAGATGACATTCAGGAGCTCAGTATGGCTCTTTTCCAGGTGGCTTTCCCAGGGGGAATGCCTGGTAATTTTCCTGGAGCAATGCCTAGAATGGCAGAAATGCCTGGATGCAATGAAATTCTTAGTGATTTAGAGCAGGAGTGTTCAATCTTTTGGCTTCCCTGGACCACACTCAAAGAAGAATTGTCTTGGGCCACACATAAAATACAGTAACACTAACGAGAGCTGATGGGCTTTTTAAAAAAATTGCAAAAAATCTCATAATGTTTTAAGAAAATTTACAAATTTGTGTTGGGCCACATTCAAAACTGTTCTGGGCTGCATATGGCCCATGAGTTGGACAAGCTTGACCTAGAGGTTCTTGCAGCCATGCAGGAAACAGAAGTTACAGTGATCTTCTAGGATGTGGCCCAGAACACAGCAAATATGTCAAAACACCAGAGTAACCAAAAAAATTATGAATCTCATCAGTAAATTGTCAGCCAAATTTTTAAAGTGAAGGAAAATGTCCTTTGGACAAGTAAAAGGCCCTAGGTGAAGGAAAAGCAAACTAGATCACCTAATAAATGTTACAATAATACAAACCGGTGTACCTCTGATCAAGACAACTAGAAGGCTTTCAAGATCATCTCTACCCCTCTTCCCCAAATGCAGCTGAATATTTTACTGTGGTTTGCCATTAGGATATTCATTCAAATCATGTGTTCCTGCTAGAAATTACAAACTATAATAAAATACTAAATATTTATTCACTAAATATTTATACTGAATAAAATACTAAATATTTTAAACCTTAAAATATTTAAAACAAAAGGATTTGTTAGTTCATATATTTTTCTTTAATAATCATTTTGTATTTTTCCTTTATTAGGCAAGAAAGATACTTAAGTATGGAAGATTTATTGCTCTGGTTTTAGTGAAACACAGGTTTACAAATGGGAGGCAAATAAAACTAATTTAAGTAGATAAAGCTTGAGTTGAATACATGACTACTGAGGAATTTTGATTTCTCTTTTTAAATGGTTTTTTAACATGAATAATTCTGATAAAAATATTGATATTCCAGTATTTCAACAGAACCTGAGGAACAGGTTCTGTTTCTCAGAAACAGACTGGAAATACTTGGTATAGCAGCAGTAATCTTATTATGTTTTACATAGCATGCACCCTCTTGTCAGTTGCATTTAAACCTTACACGATGGTAAAGAATTTTTTTTAATGCTCCAGTAGAGCTGGATTATTCAGCTCTGTTCTTGTTCAATATATCATGAAAATGTTTCATATTATCTCAACAGCGAACAGGCGAAGACTCTCAAAACACAACAGTTGTTTTTTTTTTTTTAATTCAAAAATTAAAGAGGAAGAGATGATTGCAACTTCATTCTATGAGGCAAGCACTGCTCTGATACCAAAATCAGACAGGGACACAACAAACAAGAAAACTATAGGCCGATAATCCTGATGAATATAAATGCAAAAATCTTCTACAAAATATTAAATACTCAAATTCAACAACATATCAAAAACATCATTCATCGTGATCAAGTGGGATTCATCCCAGGGAATCAAGGATGGTTGAACATGTGAAAATCAATAAACATGATATATCACATCAACAAAATCAGAGACAAAACCCATATCATCATTTCAATGGGTGCTGAAAAAGCATTTGATAAAGTTCAAAATTCCTTCATGATAAAACCTCTAAACAAACTGGGTATGGAAGGAATTTACCTGAACACAATAATGGCCACATATAACAAACCCATAGCTAATATCATACTGAAGGAACAGGGAAAAATTGAAAGTCTTTCCAAAGAGATCTCAAACAAGACAAAGATAAGACTTCCACCACTTTTATTTAACATAGTACTACAAGTCTTAGCCAGCACAAACAGGCAAGAGAAACAAGTGAAAGGGTACCCAAACTGGAATTTTAAAAGCCAAATTATCCTTGTTTGCAGACAACATAATTTTTTTTTTAATTTTACTTTAAGTTCTGGGATACATGTGCAGAACGTGCAGGTTTGTTACATAGGCATACATGTGCCATGGTGGTTTGCTGCACCTATCAACTCGTCATCTAGGTTTGAAGCCCCGCATGCTTTAGGTATTTGTCTTAATGCTCTCCCACCCCTCCCCCACAACTCCGGTGTGTGACGTTCCCCTCCCTGTGTCCATGTGTTCTCATTGTTCAACTCCCACTTATGAGTGAGAACGTGTGGTGTTTGGTTTTCTGTTTCTGTGTTAGTTTGCTAAGAATGATGGCTTCCAGCTTCATCCGTGTGCCTGCAAAGCCCATGAACTCATTCTTTTTTATGGCCACAATGATCTTATATTTAGAGAAACCTAAAGACTCCACCACAAAAAAGCTTAGAACTGAAAAACGTATTCAGTAAAGTTGCAGCATACAACCTCAACATACAAAAATCAGTAGCATTTACATATACTACCAGTGAAAAATCAAAAAGGCAATCTGATTTACAATAGCTACCAAAAATAAAATAAAATACTTAGGAATAAATTTAACCAAATAAGTGGAATATCTCTACAAGAAAAACTACAAAACACTAATGAAAGAAACTGAAAAGGACACAAAATAAATGGAAAGGTATGCCAGATTCATGGATTGGAATAATTAATATTGTTAAAATGCCTATACTTTTTTTGTTTTTTTTTTTCTTTATTTATTTCTAAGATACAGGGTCCCATTTCATCACCAGGCTGGAGTGCAGTAGAACAATTAGCTCACTGCAGCCTTAAACTCCTAGGCTCAAGGGATCCTCCTGCTTCAGCCTCCCAGGTAGCTGGGACTACAAATACACCCACCATGCCCAGCTAATTTTTTCTTTTAATTTTTTGCAGACATACGGTCTTGCCATCTTGCTTAGGCTGGTCTCGAACTTCTGGGCTCTAGTGACCCTCCCACCTCAGCCTCCCAAAGTGCTGAGATTACAGGTGTGACCTATCACATTCAGCAAAATATCTATACTTCCCAAAGCAATCTATACATTTAATGCAATTCCTATCAAAATACCAATGACAGGAGAAAAAGATGGAGCAAGATGCTGAAATAGAAAGCTCCACTGATCACCCCACTAAGAGTACAACAATTTAACAAAAAAAAAAAAAACAAAAGAAAAGAAAAAAAAAAAAACACCTTCATGAAAACCAAAACTCAGGCAAGTACTTACAGCATCCGATTTTAACTTTACATTACTGAAAGAGAAAATGAAGAAGTAGAAAAAACAGTTTTGAATCACAGACATCACCCTTCCCCCAACCCATAGCAGCTACTGCATAGTGCAGAAAACAATTCTGTATGCTGGGGGAGAAACAGCGCGGAAATTGGGAGGCACTGAACTCAAAGCTGTTCCATTAGAGCAGAAATAAAAACCAGAATAAATTTGGCTGATGTGTGCCCATGAAGAAAGCATTTAAACCAGCCCTAGGCAGAGGAGAATAGCTGATCTCAGTGATTGGAACTTGAGTTCCTGAAAGTCTCACCACCTCAGGCTAAAGGCTCTGGGGCTCTAAATAAATTTAAAAGGCAGTTTAGGCCACAAGGACTGTAACTCCTAGGTGAGTCCCAGTGGTGAACCAGGCCCTGAGCCAGTGGATTAGGGAACACACAATCTAATGAGATAACAGCTAGGGTAGCTAAGAAAGTGCTGGCATCACCTCTCCCTTAACCCCAGGCTGTACAGCTTGCAGCTCCAACAGACCCCTTCCTTCTGTGTGAGGAGAGGAGAGGAAACAGTGAAGAAGACTTTGTCTGGCATCTTGGATACCAGCTCAGTCACAGCAGGATAAGGCACTGCTCAGAGTCGTGAGGTCATGAGGTCCCCTTTCCAGGCCCTAGCTCCCAGATGACATTTCTAGACATACCCTGGCCCAGAAGGGAACCTGCTGCCTTGAAGGGAAGGGCAAAATCCTAGCAAAATTCATCATCTGCTACCTAAAGAGCCCCTGGGGCCCTGAATAACCAGGAGTGATACCCAGGTATTACATCAAGGGTCTTGGGTGAGAATCTGAGACTTGCTGGCTTCGGGGGAAACTCAGCACATTTCCAGCTGTGTTGGCTACCGGGCAAGCCTTCTGCCTGAGACAAGTGGAGGGGAAAAGGAAACAAGGCTTTCTCTTGCACCTTAGGAACCAGCGTGGTCATGGGTGGGTACAGAACAAAGCAGGCTCTTGGGTCCCTGATTCCAGGACTTGGCTCTTGGACTGCATTTCTGGACCTGTCCTGGACCAGGGAGGAGCCCACTGCCATGAAGGTGATTCCCAGGCCAGGAAAGAGTCACCACAAGCTGACTGAAGAGCTCTTGGCCTTAAAATATTGGTGGTAGTCTGGCAGTAGGCCCCGTGGGCCTGTGATGGCAGGAGCCACAGGATGAGGCTCCTCTGCCTTCGGAAAGGGGAGGAAAGAAGGGGAAGGATGGTGTCTTGTGGTTTTGGTGCCAGCTCAGCTATGGTACAAGAGAACATAAGGTAGACTTCTAAGGTTTTTGACTCTAGTCCCTGGCTCCTAGATATCACCTCTAAACTCACCCAGGAACTGGGGAAACTCAGTACCCTGAAGGGAAGGACACAGACCTGACTGGCTTTGCCAGCTGCTCATTCTAGAGCTCCAGGGCCTTGAACAGACATATATGGTAGCCCGGGAGTGGTTACAACAGGCCTTGGGTGAGACCCAGTGAGACCTGGCTTCAGGTCTGACCCAGCACAGTCCTAGTGGTGGTGACCACAGAGGTGCTTGTGTCACTCAAACTCCAGCTTCAGGTGACTCGAAACAGAGAGAGAGACTGCTTGTTTGGCAGAAAGTAAGAGAAGAGAACAAGAGTCTCTGTCTGGTAATACAGAGAATTCTTCCAGATATTGTCCAAGACCATCAAGGTGGTCCCTCTACAAGTCTGAAAAAACCACAGCATTAACTAGACTTGGGGTCCCCCCTAAAGCAGACACAGCTTAAATCACAACATCCAAGTCCCTCTGAATATCTGGAAGGCCTTCCTAAGAAAGACAAACAAGCTCAACAAATAACTAACTCAAAGACTACCTTAAATAACTAACTCTTCAATGCCTACCACAGACAAAACTCTACAAGTATCAAGACCATATCCAGGAAAATATGGCCTTACCAAATAAACTAAATAAGGCACCAGGAACCAAATCTAGAGAAACAGAGATATATGATCTTTCAGACAGAGAACTCAAAATAGCTGTTTTTAGTAAACTCAAAGAAATTCAAGATAACACAGAAAAGAAATCCAGAATTCTATCAGGTAAATTTAGCAAAGAGATCGAAATAATTTAAAATAATCAAGCCAAAATTCTGGAGTTGAAAAATGCAACTGATGTACTGAATAATGCACCAGAGTCTGTTGAATCAAGAATGACTCATTGTGCAGAATGAATCAAGCACAAGAAAGAATTAGTGAGCTTTAAGACAGGCTATTTGAAAATACACAAAGGAGACAAAAGTTAAAAGAATAAAAAACAAGCAAGATGACAGGTTTTAGAAAATAGCCTCAAAAGAGCAAATCTGAGAGTTGGCATTAAAGAGGAGGTAGAGAAAGAAATAGGGTTCAGAACTTCACTAAAAGAAATAATAACAGAGAACCCTCCAAACATAGCGAGAGACATCAATATCCAAGTTCAAGAAGGTTACAGAACACCAAGAAAATTTAACCCACAGAGGACTACCTCAAGACATTTAATAATCAAACTCACGAAGATCAAGGATTAAAAAAAGGATCCTAAAAGCAGCAGGAGAAAAGAAGCAAATAACTAACATACAATGGAGCTCCAACATGTCTAACAACAAACTTTTCCATGGAAACCTTACAGGCAAGAAGAGTGGCATAACATATTTAAAGTGCTGAAGAAAAAAAAAAAAAACTTTTACCCAAGAATAATGTATCCAGGGAAAATACACTTAAAACATGAAGGAGAAATAAAGACTTTCCCAGATAAACAAAAGCAGAGGGATTTCATTAACACCAGACCTGTCCTACAAAAAATGCTAAAGGGAGTACTTCAATCAGAAAGAAAAAGGATGACGACAAGCAACGAGTAATCATCTGAAGGTACGAAACTCATCGGTAATACTAAGTATACAGAAAAATACAGAATATTATATATAAAACTGTAACTGCAGTGTGTAAACTACTCTTATCCTAAGTAGAAAGACAAAATGATTAACCCACAAAAAATAATAACTACAACTATTCAGGATAGGCAGTACAATAAAATATAAAAAGAAACAATAAAAAGTTGAAAAGCAGGGGAATTAAAGTGAAGTTTTTCTAAGTTTTCTTTTTGCTTGTATGTTTATGCTAACAGTGTTAAGCTGTTATCAGCTAAAAATAATGGATAATAAGGTAGTATTTGCAAGCCTCATGGTAATCACAAACAACAAAAAATACATGAGATCCAAAAAAGCAAAAAATTAAATCATATCACCACAGAAAAATATCTTCACAAAAAAGAAGATAGAATGGAAAGAAAGAAAAAAGAGAAGACAACAAAACAACCAGAAAACAAATAACAAAAGAACAGGAATAAGTCCTTACTTATCAATAATAATGCTGAATGGAAAGGGACTAAACTCTCCAATCAAAAGATATAGCACAGTTGAATAAACGAAAACGCAAAACCCAATGATTTTTTGCTTACAAGAAGCACTCTTACCCTATAAAGGCACATGTGGACTAAAAATAAAAACATGAAAAAAGATATTCCATACCAATGGAAACCAAAAAAGAGTAGAAGTGGCTATACTTAGACAAAATAGATTTCAAGACAAAAATTATAAGAAGAGTTGAAGAAGTACACTATATAACAATAAAGTGTCAATTCAGTAACAGAATATAACAATTTTAAGTATATGTGCAACCAACACTGGAGAACACAAATATACCAACCAAATATTATTAGAGCAAAAGAGAAAGATAGACTTTAATACCATAATAGCTGGAGACATCAACACCCCACTTTCAGTACTGGAGATATCTTCCAGGCAGAAAATCAACAAAGAAACATCAGATTTAATCTGCACTACAGATGAAATGAATCGAATAGATATTTACAGAACATTTCATGCAAAGGCTGCAGAATATACATTCTCTTCCTCAGCACATGGATCATTCTCAGGGACAAACTAGATCACAAAACAACTCTTACAATATTTTAAAAATGGAAACAATATTAAGCATCTTCTTTGACCACAATGGAATAAAACTAGAAATCATAACAAAAAGACTTGTTGAAACTATACAAATGTATGCAGATAAAACAACATGCTCTTGAATGACCAGTGGATCAGTGAAGTAATTTTTAAAAAATGACAAATTTCTGGAAAGAAAAATACAGCAAAAGCAGTACTTCGATGGAAGTTTACAGGTATAAGTACCTACATCAATAAAGAAGAAAAACTCTGAATGAATAATCTAACAATCCATCTTAAAGGACTAGCAAAGCGAGCAAATCAAACCCAAAATCAGTAGAAGAAAAATAATAAAGATCAGGTCGCACATGGTGGCTCACACCTGTAATCCCAGCACTTTCGGAGGCCAAAACAGGTGGATCACTTGCTCTCAGGAGTTTGAGACCAGCCTGGCCAACACGGCAAAACCCCATCTCTACCAAAAACACAAGAAATTAGCTGGGCATGGCAGCACATACCTGTGGTCCCAGCTACTCGGGAGGCTGAGGTGGGAGAATCACTTGAGCCTAGCAGGCAGAGGTTGCAGTGAGCTGAGATCACACCACTGACTCCAGCCTGAGTGACACTGAGACCCTATCTCCAAAAAAAAAAAAAAAAAAAAAAAAAAAAAAAAAAAAAAAAAAAAAAAATTCCCAGCAGAAATAAATAAAATTGAAATAAAGAAAACAATTTTAAAAAATGAAAAAAGAGTTGGTTTTGGCTGGGCGCAGCGGCTCACGCCTGTAATCCCAATACTTTGGGAGGCCAAGGTGGGCAGATCATGAGGTCAGGAGATCCAGACCATCCTGGCTAACACAGTGAAACCCCGTCTCTACTGAAAACACAAAAAATTAGCCAGGCGTGGTGGCAGGTGCCTGTAGTCCCAGCTACTCAGGAGGCTGAGGCAGGAGAATGGCGTGAACCCGGGAGGCAGAGCTTGCAGTGAGCCGAGATCAAGCCACTGCACTCCAGCCTGGGCGACAGAGCGAGACTCCACCTCAAAAAAAAAAAAAAAGAGTTGGTTTTTTGAAAAGTTAAACAAAACCGACAAACTTTTAGTCAGACCAAAAAAAAAAAAAAAAAAAAAAAAACAGATTATCCAAATAAATAAAATCAGGGATGAAACATTACAACTGACACTGCAGAAAAACAAAGGATCATTAGTGGCTACTGTGAGCAAGTATATGCCAATGCCAATAAATTGGGAAATCTAGAAGAAATGGACAAATTCCTAGACATCCAACTTACCAATATTAAACAATAAAGAAATCCAAAACCTGAAAAGACCAGTAACAAGATAAAAGCCATAATAAAAAGTCAGCCTGGTGCAGTGGCTCACACCTATAATCTCAGCACTTTGGGAAGCTGAGGCAGGTGGATCACTTGAGCCCAGGAGTTTCAGACCAGCCTGGGGAAAATGGTGAAACTCTGACTCTACAAAATATACAAAAATTAGCCGGGTGTGATGGTGTGTGCCTGTAGTCCCAGCTACTTGGGGATCTGAGGTATGAGAAATGCTTGAGCCCAGGGAGGTTGAAGCTGAAGTAAGCCATAAACATGCCACCACACTCCAGAATGGATGACAGAGTGAGATCCTGTCTCCAAAGAAAAAACAAAAGCAGGCCGGGCATGGTGCCTTACGCCTGTAATCCCAGCACTTTGGAAGGCCGAGGTGGGCGGATCACGAGGTTAGGAGATTGAGACCATCCTGGCCAACATGGTGAAACCCTGTCTCTACTAAAAATACAAAAATTAGCTGGGTGTGGTGGCACGTGCCTGTAATCCCAGCTACTCAGGAGGCTGAGACAGGAGAATCGCTTGAACCTGGGAGGTGGAGGTTGTAGTGAGCCAAGATTGTGCCATTGCACTCCAGTCTGGCGACAGAGTGAGACTCCATCTCAAAAAAAAAAAAAAGAAGTCTCCCAGTAAAGAAAAGCCTGGGACCCAATGGCTTCACTGCTGAATTCTACCTAACATTTAAAGAAGAACTAATACCAATCTTCTTTAAATATTCCAAAAAATAGAGTAAGAGGGGATACATCCAAACCATTCTACAAAGGCCAATATTACTCTAATACCAAAATCAAACAATGACACATGAAAAAGGAAAACTACAGGCCAATATCTCTGATAAACATTGATGCAAACATCCTCAACAAAATACTAGCAAAATGAATTCAACAATATATTAAAGAGATCATTCATCATGATCAAGTAAGATTTATCCCTGGGATGGAAGGATGGTTCAACATACACAAATCAATGTGATACATCATTATCAACAGAATAAAAGACAAAAACCATATGATCATTTCAATTGATTATGAAAAAGCATCTGATAAAGTTCAAAATCCCTTCATGATAAAAACCCTAAAAAAAAAAAAAAACAGGTAACTAGGAACACACCTCAACATAATAAAGGCCATATACAACAGACCCACAGCTAGTATAATACTGAATGTGGAAAAGCTGAAAGCCTTTCTTTCCTCTAAGATCTGAAACACTACAAGGATGACCACTTTCAGTGTTTCTCAACATAGTACTGGAAGTCCTAGGTACAGCAATCAGACAACAGAAAAAAACACAGAGAATCCAATTTGGAAAGAAAAAAGTCAAGTTATCCTTGCAGATGATATAATCCCATATTTAGAAAAACCTAAAGACTCCACACAAAAAAACCTTTTAGAACTGATAAATTCAGTAAAGTCACAGACAACAAAATGAACATACAAAAATCAGTAGCATTTCTATATGCCAACAATGAACAATCTAAAAAAGAAACTCAAAAAGTAATTTTCTTTACAATAACCACACATAAAATTAAATCTATGAGGTAACCAAAGAAGTGAAAGATTTCTATCATAAAAACTATAAAACACTGACTAAAGAAATTGGAGGGATGCCAAAAAATAAAAAACATTCCATGTTCATGGATTGGATGAATCAATGCTGTTAAAGTGTTTATACTTCCCAAAGAAATCTACAGATTCAATGAAATCCCTACTAAAATACCAATGACATTATTCACAGAAACAGAAAAAACAATCCTAAAATATATTTGGAACCACAAAAGAAACAGAATAGCTGTTTCTTAGCTACCCTAAGAAAAAGAACAAGTCTGGTGGAATCACATTACCTGACTTCAAATTATACTACAGAGCTATAGTAACCAAAAGAGCATGGTATTGGCATAAATATAGACATATACACCAAAGGAACACAATAGAGAACCCAGAAACAAATCTACACAACTACAGTGAACTCATTTTCAACAAAGGTGCCCAGAACATACACTGAGGAAAAGACATTCTCTTTAATAAATGGTGCTGGGGAACCTGAGTATCCATATGCAGAATGAAACTAGACCCCAACACTCACCATATACAAATATCTAATCAAAATGGATGAAAGATTTGCATATACCCTCAAACTACAAAACTACTAGAAGAAAATTTTGGGGAAACTCTCCAGGTCATTGGTCTGGTCAAAGCTTTGTCTCAAAAAAAAAAAAAAAAGAGTCTCGCTTTGTCACCAGGCTGGAGTGCGGTGCCATGATCTCAGCTAACCACAACCTCTGACTCCCTGGTTCAAGGGATTCTTCTGCCTCAGCCTCCCGAGTAGCTGGGATTACAGGCACATGCCACCACGCCCAGCTAATTTTCGTATTTTTAGTAGAGACGGGATTTCACCATGTTGGCCAGGATGGTCTCAATCTCCTGACCTCGTGATCTGCCCACCTCAGCCTCCCAAAGTGCTGGGATTACAGGTGTGAGCCACTGCGCCTGACCCTGACAAAAAATTCTTAAGTAATGCCCCAAAAGGACAGGCAACAAAAGAAAAAATGGACAAACGGGATCACATCAAGTTAAAAAGCTTCTTCACAGCAAAGGAAACAATCAACGAAATGAACAAACAACCCACAGAATAAGAGAAAATATTAATGACTAGAATATACAAGGAACTCAAACAACTCTATAGGAAAAAAATCGAATAATCTGATCAAAAAATGGGCAAAAGATTTGAACACACATTTCTCAAAAGAAAATATACCAACTGCAAAACCGGCATATGAAATGGTACTCAACATCACTGATCATCAGAGAAATACAAACCAAAACTACAATGAAATATCATCTCACCCCAGTTAAAATGGCTTATATCCAAAAGACAAACAATAACAAATGCTGATGAGGATGTGGAGAAAAGGGAACCCTTGCATGCTGTTGGTGGGAATGTCAATTAGTACAACCACTATGGAGAACAGTTTGGAGGTTCCTCCAACAACTAAAACTAGAGTTACTATATGATCCAGCAATCCCACTGCTGGTTATATATCCAAAAGAAAGGAAATCAGTATATCGAAGAGATACATGCGCTCCCATGTTTGTTGCAGCACTGTTAACAACAGCCAAGATTTGGAAGTAATCTAAGCATCTATCAACAGACAAATGGATAAAGAAAATGTGGTACACATATACAATGGAGTACTATTCAGTCATAAAGAAGAATAAGATCCTGTTATTTGCAACAACATGGATGAAACTAGAGATCACTATGTTAAGTGAAATAAATCAGGCACAGAAAGACAAACATCACATGTTATCACCTATTTCTGGGATCTAAAAACCAAAACAACAGAACTCATGGAGACAGAGAGTAGAAGAATGGTTGCCAGAGGGTGGGAAGGGTCATAGGGAAACAGAGGGTGTGGTGGAGATGGTTAATGTGTATAAACAAATAGGGAGAATGTATCAGACCTAAAATTTGAAAGCACAACATGGTGACTACAGTCAATAATAATTGGATTGTACATTTAAAAATAATTAAAACAGTATAATTAGACTGTTGGTAACACAAAAGATAAAAGCTTGAGGGGATAGATACCCCATTCTCCATGGTATGACTGTTACACATTGCATGCCTGTATCAAAACATCTCATTTACCCCATAAATATATAAATCTACTATGTACCCCCCAAAATTAAACATTAAAAATTAAAGAGAAAACCTCTGACACTCCTCACAGAAAGGAAAAAAAAAATCCTAAAATGTATGTGGAACCACAAAAGACCCCAAATAGCTACTGCTGGGAAAAAAAAACCAAGCCTGGACGCATCATAATACCTGACTTCAAAATATACTACTACAAAGCTATAGTAACCAAAACAGCATGACTGGCATAAAAACACACATAGATCAATAGAACAGAATAGAGAACTCAGAAATAAATCCACACACTTAACAGCCAATTCATTTTCAACAAAGGAACCAAGAATATACATTGGAGAAAGGAGTCCCTTTAATAAATGGTGCTGCAAAAACTGGATATCCCTATGCAGAAGAACCAAACTAGATCCCCATCTTCAACCATATACAAAAATCAACTCAAAATGGATTAAAAACTTAAATGTAAGACCTGGCACTATTAAACTACTAAAACAAAACAAAATTAGAAAAATGCTACAGGACATTGGTTTGAGCAAAAATTGTTGGGGAAGCCCTGAAAAATCACAGGCAACAAAAGCAAAAACAGATAAATGGGATTATATCAAACTAAAGTTCTTCAAAGCAAACAATCAATAAAGTGAAGAGACAACCTACAGAACGAAAGGAAATAATCTGCAAATTATCCATCTGTCAAAAGATTAATAACCAGAATATATGAAGAACTCAAATCAATAGCAAAAGAAAAAAAATCCAATTTTAAAATGGACAAAATACCTGAATGGACATTTCTCAAAAGATGTACAAATGGCAACAGGTATATTAAACAATGCTCAATATCACTAATAATCAGGAAAATGTAAATAAAAACTACAATGAGATATCCATCTTACCCTAGTTACAATAGCTATTACTAGAAAGACAAAAAATAACAAATACTGGCAAGAAATGTAGAGAAAAGCACATACACTGTTGGCAGAAATGTAAAGTGACACAGCCATTATAGAAAACAATATAGGGGTTCCTCAAAAAACTAAAAAAGGACTACCATATGATCCAGCAATCCCCTGCTTGGTACATATCCAAAGAAAAAGAAATGAGTGTGTGGACGATAGAGCTGCACACCTACGTTTATTGGAGCATTATTGGCAATAGCCAAGATGTGAAATCACCTTAAGTGTTCATCAACACATGAAGGGATAAAGAAAATATAGTATATATACAAAACTGAATGTTATTCAATGATAAAAACAAATAAAATCCTGTCATTTGCAGCAACATAAATGGAACCGGTGATCATTACGTTAAGTGAAATAACACAGTCACAGAGTTTGTTTGTTCTCAAGATGGCTGACCAGGGATGTCAGGTGCCAGCTCTTCTCAGAAAGAAGACCAAAGTTACTGGTGAACGGACAAATCCCAAAAGAAAAACTGAGAAAAAGTAGCCAGGACTTGTCACAGTAGCCATGGGAAGGACATGGGATGCAAAAAGGAAAGCATCGAGAGTCTAGCAAAGATCGACCCCTGGAAAACTGGAGTCTCATGGAAAGGGTAGGTGGGAGTACTTCTCTGCTGCACTCACCCTTGTAACATTCTATGAATCACCAAACTGTTGGAAAGACCCTCTGCCCTTGTAACCCAGAGCTATGCTATTGGTGATTATTTGGGAACTTGTCAAGCACAAAGAACCGGGTAGCCAGCTCACACAGGCTATCTGCATTCCCCTCAGACCTGAACTGAGACAGACCATGCCATACAGGTTCGGCACTTGTCATAAGCCACTACCATGCCCAAGGACTCTCTGCCCTTGAGTCACAGCACCACCAGATCCCCTGCAAATATACCCTACAATCCACTGTGACTTTGACAAACACAGAGAACCATCAAGTCCCTGGGAAGCTGCAGGATGCCTGGAGATCTAACCCTCAGTGTGGGCCACCCATAAGGGAGGGGGAAGTGCAGCCCACCAAAGCCCTCGTTGGCACAAATAAAACATAGGAGTAGTGCCAATCACTGCGGGGGCCAGCACCAACACCCGGAAATGGCTGTGGAGAATGGGCCCTCTCCCACCCTAACTGCTCCCATCGATTGTTGCAGAAGCAGCAGTAGTTCTTCCCACTGGAGGGTGACACGTGTGTACTTGGAGAAAGTGTTGTTTGTGGTTTGTGCTTTTCATGGTGGCTCCACCCTTGCTGAATGTGAGTCCGTGCCACTTGGGCCTACATGAAAGGAAGGGTCCAACTCCCCCTCCCTACACAAAATGGCAGTGTCCTGGCAATAAAGGACAGCCAATTCATGGAGTTGCCTGCTCTGGATTAGGGGGAAAGGCTGTGCCCAGGGCTCATTTTGGTGGTAGCCATGAGAAGGGCATATCCAGAGCCTGCAGCCACACTGCAGCCAGGAATGAAAAAGACAAAGTCTTTATGAAGTGAAGGTCATGAGTCCTGCAACAAAGTCATGATAGGGAAGCAGACTGCATTCCCACTGAACAATGACAAGGAGCTGATGCACTCCTCAGCCCCTCCCCTAAGAACTTAAGCACACTCCAACAGGATCACTTTCCACCAACCCCACATCAAGGCAGGTGCTTCCACTTACCATCAGCCTACCTAAGGGAGAACCAGCTCTTACTCTTAAGCACCACCTTCTGGATTTCGGCCTGAACTGTACCACCAAATAAAAGATATGCTGCCCGAAGGGCTTGGTGCTAGATAAGTTTCCTGAGTTCTCCCTATCCTCTGCCCTGAACGATATATGTAAGCTAATTCATCCAATACATGGCTACAACAAACAGTATCTGAGAAAGCTGCCACACAGAAGGTATCCACAACTAGGGAACACATACAGAGCTTTGGCCCCCTGAAAGCACCCAGGAACTAAGCCAAACAATTATGCACATCCAGACAAGCAACTGCTAAAAGAAATAATCACCACCAAATCAATCTCGCAAGAAATGCTCAAAGGAGTTCTAAAGATGAAAATGAAAGATACCTGCTACCATAAAAGTGCATGTAAGTATAAAGCTCACGTATCATATGAAGCAATTATACAATTGAGACGGCAAAGCAACTAGCTGACAATACTATCACAAGGACAAAACCTTACATAGCAGTATCAACCTTGAACATAAATAAATGAAATGGCACATTTAAAAGACACAGAGTGGCAATTTGTATTTAAAAAAAAAAAAAAAACGACCCAACCTTCTGCTGCCATCTCATATGTAATGACACCCAAAGGCTCAACATAAAGGGATAAAGATCACACAAATGCAAAGCAAAAAAAAAAAAAGAGAGAGCAGGGGTTGCTCTTATTCTATGAGATAAAACAGACTTAAGACCAGCAACAGGAAAAAAAAGACAAAGAAGGCCATCATGCAATGATAAAGCGGTTCAATTCAAAAGAAGATTTAACTATCTCAAATATATACACACCCAATATCATACCACCCAGGATATAAAACATATACTACCAAAATTACAAAAAGAGACAGAGAGCCATACAGCAATAGTGGAGAATTTCAATACCCACAGACAGAACTAGACACATCACTGAGGCAGAGAAAAAAGAAACTGTGGACTTAAATTAAACTCTTCACCAAATGACCTAATAGACATCTACAGAATACTCCAAGCAACTACCACAGAATATACCTTTTTCTCATCTGCGCATGGGACATTCTTAAAAATTGACCATTGGGGAGTAGCAAAGATGGCTGACTAGAAGAAGCTAGTGTATGTGGCTCTCACAGGAACAAAAGGGGTGAGTAAATACAACACCTTCAACTGAAACATCCAGGTACTCACATTGGGATTAATCAAGGAAACAACTTGACCCACAGAGAACAAAGAAAAGCAAGACAGGACAACGACCCACCTGGGAGCAACATAGAGCCAGGAGATCCTCCACCACCCAGCAAAGTGGTGAGTGAATGAGCAACCCTGGAAAACCATGCTTCTCCCACAGATGTTTGCAACCCTCGGATCAGGAGATCCCACTAAACCAGGACTTTCAGTCTTCAGTCTGAGCTACGTAGAGTCTCGGCAGAGCAGCCACTCAGGCATGCATGGAGACCCTGGAGCCCTAGATACTTGGGCTTCCAGCAAAAGTAACTAGAGCTACAGCAAAGTGGAAGGTTAGACTGCTGTATGTACCCCTAGGAAAGAGACTGAATCCAGAAAGCTCAGCAGCAACGGCCTGCAGGCCCCACTTCCATGGCACCTCAGAAGATAAGACCCACTGGCTTGGAATTCCAGCCAGCTACAAGTAGTGGCACTAAACCTCCCTAAGAAGGAGCTCCCAGGGGGAGGGGCAGGCTGCCATCTTTGCTGTTTGGGCGACTTGGCCATTCCAGACTTTGGGCTTTGGAGTCTCTGAAGTGAGCAGGGACTGAACAGGACCCCAAGCACAGCACATCTGCTCTACCAAAACATGGCCTGACTGCTTTTTTAAGTAGGTCCTGACCCATTACTCCTCACCAAACAGGACCTCTCAACCGTGGTCTCCAGCCAACTCCTACAAGTGGCTTTGGGCCAGCAGCCAGTTGAGTATACCCCAAGCATACAGTAGCAGCCCTTTGGAAAAGTGGCCAGATTATTGTATGAGTACCTGTTCCCATATCTCCTCACTGGGTAAGTCCTCCAGGCCTAAGCCTCAACTATCAACTATAGAGCCAGAACTATCAAGCCAGTACCAACTCAGCAACTCCCTAAGCAGAGCCTCCAGGGGCATCTGAAAGCCTCTCTGGCACTGCTTCTGCAATGGAAGTGCCCTTCCTATCCTCAGAAAAGAGGAAGAAAAGACCCTAAGGGCCTTATCCACACCTCCAACAAGCTGCAGTCAACCCAAAAAGAGCAGGCCATTCTGTCTCCTGCAGGTCCCATACAACCCCCATGGCTCATCACCAGACAAGGAACCCCTGACTTGGGCCCACAGTACAAACCCTCCATCATGGACTGACTGCACTGAGCAAATTCTGACCTGCATCTCTCTGGGTTGGGGTCCCCAAGAGTCAACCAAATGACCCTTGGCCACAACCAGTACCAAGATCTCTTCCTCTGCTGCCTCTAAGCTGGGAAAGAAACATAAACACTCGGCACAGAGCTGCAGTGGGCAGCCAAGAAGTACAAAGTCATAAATTACAGCCAGCACTCAAGAAAGAGAGAAACCCACACTTCCACAGCATTGAGAGGGAACATTGCTGCAACTATGAGGAAACACAGAGGAGCCACACAACTGAGCAAGAGTCTACCAACTGACCAATGAGCCTAAGTGTCGCCTTCTGGATTATATCCCAAAACTTCAACACCAAAAATACCTCACTAACATAACTCCCTCTGAAACTAGAGACAAGAAGTCAGCTTCAAATAAAACCCCCACACAAAGCCTCAGCTTGGTGAAAACATCCAGAAAAGTCAACTGACTGTACTCAACCTACACTGTAGTTAAAGGAACACCCACATGCAGAGATGAGAAAAAATCAATGTAAGAACTCTGGCCAGAGTGTCATATGTCCTACAAAAAAACCACACCGGGCCGGGCGCAGTGGCTCACACCTGTAATCCCAGCACTTTGGGAGGCCGAGGGGGGTGGATCACGAGGTCAAGAGATTGAGACCATCCTGGCCAACACCGTGAAACCCAGTCTCTACTAAAAATACAAAAATTAGCTGGGCATGGTGGCATGTGCCTGTAGTCCCAGCTACTTGGGAGGCTGAGGCAGGAGAGAATCGCTTAAACCTGGGAGGCAGAGGCTGCAGTGAGCCAAGTTCATGCCACTGTACTCCAGCCTGGCGACAGAGTCAGATTCCGTCTCAAAAAAAAAAAAAAAAAAAAAAAACCATACCAGTTCTCCAACAAGAGTTCTTGACCAGGCTGAACTAGCCGGAATGACAGAAATAGAATTCAGAATTCAGAATACAAGTAGAAACAAAAATAATCGAGAGTCAGGAGGATGACAATATGAAACCCAAGGAAAATAAGAACCACAATAAAGTGATACAGGAGCTAAAGGACAAAATAGCCAATATAAAAAAGAACCTAACGGGTCTGACAGAGCTGAATAACACAATACAAGAATTTCACAGTGTAATCACAAGTATTAACATGAGAATAACCAAGCTAAGGAAAGAATCTCAGAACTTGAATACTGGCTCTCTAAAATAAGACAGAGAAAAATAAAGAAAAATAGAATAAAAAGAAATGAACAAAACCTCTGAGAAGTATAAAATTATGTAAAAAAGAGGCCAAATCTATGAATCATTGGCATCCCTGAAAGGGAGGGGGAGAAAGCAAACGACCTGGAAAATATATTTCAGGATATCATCCATGAAAACTTCCCCAACCTTGCTAGAGAAACCAACAGTCAAATTCAGGAAATACAGAGAACTCTTGCAAGATTCTACATAAGAAGATCATCCCCAAGACACATAACTGTCAGATTTTCCAAGGTTTGAATAAAAGAAAGAATGTTAAAGGCAGATAAAGAGAAAGTGCAGGTCACCTACAAAGGGATCCCCATCAGGGCAACAGCAGACGTCTCAGCTGAAACCCTACAAGCCAGAAGAGACTGGGAGCCTATACTAAACATTTTATTTTTATTATTATTATTATTATTATTATTATTATATTTTAAGTTACAGGGTACATGTGCACAACGTGCAGGTTTGATACATATTTATATATGTGTCGTGTTGGTATGCTGCACCCATCAACTCGTCATTTACATTAGGTATTTCTCCTAATGCTATCCTTCCCCCTGACCCCCATCCCACAACAGGCCCCAGAGTGTGATGTTCCCCGTCCTGTGTCCAAGTGTTCTCATTGTTCAGTTCCCACCTATGAGTGAGAACATGTGGTGTTTGGTTTTCTGTCCTCGTGACAGTTTGCTCAGAATTATGGTTTCCAGCTGCATCCATGTCTCTGCAAAGGACATGAACCCATCCTTTTTTATGGCTGCATAGTATTCCATGGTATATATGTGCCACATATTCTTAATTCAGTCTATCATTGATGGACATTTGGGTTGGTTACAAGTTTTTGCTATTGTGAATAGTGCTGCAATAAACATACGTGTGCATGTGTCTTTATAGCAGCATGATTTATAATCCTTTGGGTATACACCCAGTAATGGGATTACTGGATCAAATGGTATTTCTAGTTCTAGATCCTTGAAGAATCACCACACTGTCTTCCACAATGGTTGAACTAGTTTACACTCCCACCAACAGTGTAAAAGCATTCCTATTTCTCCACATCCTCTCCAGTATCTGTTGTTTCCTGACTTTTTAATGATTGCTATTCTAACTGGTGTGAGATGGTATCTCATTGTGGTTTTGATTTGCATTTCTCTGATGACCAGTGATGATGAACATTTTTTCATGTGTCTGTTGGCTGCATAAATGTCTTCCTTTGAGAAGTGTCTGTCCATATTCTTTGCCCACTTTTTGATGGTGTTTTTTCTTGTAAATTTGTTTAAGTTATTTGTAGATTCTGGATATTAGTCCTTTGTCAGATGGGTAGACTGCAAAAATGTTCTCCCATTCTGTAGGTTGCCTGTTCACTCTGATGGTAGTTTCTTTTGCCGTGCAGAAGCTCTTTAGTTTCTGTGCACAAACTAAAGGAAATAAATAATTTTTGAAAAGAATCTCCCAAGATTGAATCAGGAAGAAACTGGAGTCCTGAACAGACCAATATGAAGTTTAAAAATTGAATCAGTAATAAAAAACCTACCAAGCAAAAAAAGCCCTGGACCAGGCAGATTCACAGCCGAATTCTAACAGATGTACAAAGAAGAGCTGCGACCAATCTTACCAAAACTATTCCAAAATATCAAGGAGGAGGAACTCCTTCCTAACTCTTCTACTAAACCATTATCATCCTAGAACAAAAATCTGGCAAGGACACAACAAAAATAGAAAACTATAGGCCAATATCCCTGATAAACATAGATGCAAAAGTCCTCAACAAACTACTAGCAAACTGAATCGAGCAGCGCATCAAAAGATAATTAATCACTATCAAAAGGGTTTGATTCCTATGATGCAAGGATGATTAAACACATGCAAATCAATAAATGTGGTTAACATAAATTTGTTTTAGAAAACATGTGATCATCTCAAATAGATGCAGAAAAAGCATTCAATAAAATTCAACATCCCTCATGATAAAAACCCTCAACAATCTAGGCATCACAGGAACACACCTCAAAATAATAAGAGCCATAGATGACAAACCCACAGCCAACATCATAGTAGGCAAAAGTTGAAAGCATGCCTCCTAAGAACTGGAACAAGGCAAGAATGTCCCCCTACACCACTCTATTCAACATACTACTGGAATTCCTAGCTAAAGCAACCAGGTGAGAGAAAGAAATAAAAGGCCATCACAGCAAAAGAAACTATCATCAGAATAAACAGACAACCTACAGAATTTTTGTAATCTATCCATCTGACAAAAGGTCTAATATTCAGAGTCCACATGGAACTTAAACAAATTTACAAGAAAAAAAACAAATAACCCCATTAAAAAGTGGGCAAAGGACATGAACAAAAACTTCTCAAAAGAAGACATACATGTGGCCAACAAACATATGAAAAAAAAAAGCCCAACATCACTGATCATAGAGAAATGCAAATCCAAAGTACAATGAGACACCATCTCATGCCAGTCAAAATGGCTATTTATTAAAAAATCAAAAAACAACAGATGCTGGCAAGGTTGAGGAGAAAAGGAAACACTTTTACACTGTTAGTGGGAGTGTAAATTAGTTCAACCATTGTGAAGACAGTGTGGTGATTCCTCAAAGACCCAGAATCAGAAATACTATTTGACCCAGCAATCCCATTACTGGGTATATACCCAAAGTAATATAAATCATTCTATTATAAAAATACAACCACACGTGTTCAATGCAGCACTATTCACAATACCAAAGACATGGAATCAACCTAAATGCCCATCAGTGACAGACTAGATTTTAAAAAATGTGATACATATACACCATGGAATACTATGCAGCCATAAAAAGGAATGAGATCACGTCCTTTGCAGGGGCATGGATGGAGTTGGAAGCTGTTATCCTCAGCAAACTCATACAGGAACAGAAAACCAAACACTGCATGTTCTCACTTATAAGTGGGAGCTGAATGATAAGAACACATGGACACATGGGGGGAAACAACACATACTGGGGCCTGTCAGGGGTGGGGGTAAAGGGAGGGTGAGCATCAGGAAGAATAGCTAGTGGATGCTGGGCTTAATACATAGGTGATGGGATGATCCGTGCAGCCAACCACCATGGCACATGTTTACCTATGTAAAAAACCTCCACATACCTGCACATGTATCCCTGGACTTAAAAGTTGAAGGAAATAAATAAATAAATAAATAAATAAGAAATAAAAGGCATCCAAATAGGAAAAGAAGAAGTCAAATTATCTGTTCACTTACTACGTGACCCTATCCCTAAAATATTCTAAAGATTCCTCCAGAAGTCTCCTAGTCCTGATAAATTACTTCAGTAAAGTTTCAGGATACAAAAATCAACATACAAAAACCAGTGTCACGTCTATACTTCAATAGCATTCAAGCTGAGAACCAAATCAAGAACTCAATCCCATTTACAACTGCCACAAAAATAAAACACAACACAACACAACACAACACAACATAATACAATACAATACCTAGGAATACATTTAACCAAGGAGGTGACAGATCTCTACAAGGAAAACTACAAAACACTAATGAAAGTAATCATAGATGACACAAACAAATGGAAAAACATTCATTGCTAATTCAAAGATCTGTATCATTAAAATGACCATGCTGCCCAAAATAATCTACAGATTCAGAACAATTGCTATCAAATTACCAATATCATTTTACACAGAATTAGAAAAAATAATTGAAAAATTATTTTTAAAACCAAAAAAGCACCTGAATAGCCAAAGTAATCCAAAGCAAAAAGAACAAACCCAGGAGCATCACATAACCTAACTTCAAACTATACTACAAAGCTATAGTAGTGAAACAGCGTGGTAATGGTACAAAAATAGACACATAGATTAATGAAACATAGAAAAGCCAGAAATAAAGCCACATACCTACAATCAACTGATCTTTGACAAAGTTGAGAAAAGTAAACAACGGGAAGAGAACACCCTATTCAATAAATAGTGCTAGGAAAACTGGCTAGCCCTATGCAGAAGAATGATACTGAATAGATCTCTCTCATCACTTACAAAAGTTAACTCAACACGGATTAACAACTTAAATTAAGACCTGAAACTATAGCAATCCTAGAAGAAAACATAGGAAAAGCCCAGCACAGTGACTCACATCTGTAATCTCAGCACATTGGGAGGCCAAAACAAAGAGGACTGCTTGAGGTCAGGAGCTCAAGACCAGCCTGAGCAACATAGTGAAATGAGACCACCAAAAAAAAAAAAAAAAAACTGGTGTGATGGTGCTCATCTGTAGCTCAAGCAACTCTGAAAGCTGAGGCAGAAGGATCACTTGAGCCCAGGAGTTCAAGGCTTCAATGAGTTATGATCACAATACTGTACTCCAGCCTGGATGACAGAGCAAGACCCTGTTCGCCAAAATAAAAAAAAAAAAAGATGGGGGGAGGGGAGGGGAATAAAAGAAACAACTTCTACACACTAGCCTAGGCGAGTAATTATAATAACTAAGACTTTAAGAGCAAATATGAAAAAAACAAAAATAGACAAATGGGGTTTAAACTAAATAGCTTCTACACAACAAAAGAAGCAATCAAGAATCAACACACAATCTAAGAGTGGGAAAGAATATTTGCAAACTATGCATCTGACAAAGGACTACTATCTAGAATCTATAAGGAACTTAAATCAACAAGAAAATTACAAATATCCCCATTAAAAAGTGAGCAGAGGACATGAATAGACACGTCTCAAAAGAAGACACAGAAGCAGCCAACATACGTGAAAAAATGCTCAATGTAACTATTCATCAGGGAAAAGCAAATTAAAACCACAAAGAGATACCACCTCATACCAGTCAGAATGGCTATTATTAAAAAGTCAAATAATAACAGATGTTCTCGAGGACGCAGAGAAAAGGGAACACTTACAAACTTTTGGTGGGAATGTAATTAGTTCAGCCCCTGTGGAAAGCAATTTGGAGACTTCTCAAAAACAAAAAAAATAGAACTACCATTCAACCCAGCAATCCCACGACTGGGTATCTACCCAAAGGAAAAGAAACTGTTTTATCGAAAAGATACCTGCACACATATGTCTATCACAGAACTAATCACAATAGCAAAGTCATGGAATCAACCTAAGTGTCCATCAACAGTGGACTGGATAAAGAACATGTGGTTATATATAATACATGAAATACTAAGCAGGCATAAAACAGAATGAAATCACGTTCTTTGCAGCAACATGGATGCAGCTGAGGCCATTATCTGAAATGAAATAACACAGAAACAGAAAAAAAAATACCACAAGTTCTCACTTATAAGTAGGAGCTAATCAATGAGTACACGTAACATGAAGATGGAAAACAGTGGACAATGGGGACTCCAAGAAGCAGGAAGGAGGGAGAGAGGCAAAAATTGAAAAACTACCTCTTGAGTACTATGTTCATTATTTGGATGATGGGTTTTCTAGAAGCCCAAACCCCATCCCTCATTACACAATATACCCATGTAACAAACCTGCACATGTATCCCTCCAAATCCATAATTTTAAAGAAAAAAAAAAACAGTCACAGGAAGAAAAATACTGTATGTTCTTACTCTTATGTGAGAGCTAAATAAGTGGATCTCGTGAAGAGACAGAGTACAATGATGGTTACCAGAAGCTGGAAGGGAAGGGAGAGAAGGCAATGAAGAAAAGTTGATTAATAGGTACTAAAATACAGTTAAAAGGAATAAGTTCTAGTATGTGATAGTACAGTAGGGAAATTACAGTTCATAATTTATTGTATATTTCAAAATAGCCAGAAGAGAAAAACTGTAATGTTTCCAACAGAAAAGAAATATGAATGTTTGAGGTGATGGATATATCCCAATTACCCTGGTTTTGATCATTACACATTGTATGCAAGTACCAAAACATCACATGTATCCCATAAATATGTACAACTATGATATATCAATTTTTTTAAAAAGAAATACTGTAAAGCCAGGAGACAATAAATTGATGTATTTAAATTTTCACCTAGAATTGTATATCCAATAAAAATATCTTTTAAAAATAAAAGTGAATAAACCCTAAGTCAGTAAAATGAATAGGATAACAGCAGATACATGTTAAATAATACACAAAAAAATCAGAAAGTTAAAAGTTGATTTTTTAAAACATCAACAAAAGCAACAAAAACCTAGTTAGACTTGATCAAGAAAAAGAGAGAACACAAATTCCTAAAATCTGAAATAAATGAGAATTATCACTAAATACCTCACATGCATTAAAAAATAACAGTATGATTAATTAAAACAAATCCAAAAATGTAAAGTGGACAGATTTCTTAAAATATAAACTGACCAAAACCAACAGATGATAAGTTAGATAACCATAATAAAGACAAAACATAAGAAACCTCAACAATAAACAAAAAGTTTAAAATGACAAATTGGACTTCCTTGAAGTTAATATCTACTCCTCAAAACACAACATTAAGAAAACAAAAACGCAGGCTACATATATTGAAAGAAGGACTAGTATTTAGAATGAAGAATTCAGAAAATGGCAGATTAGAGGCTTTTAGCATGCCTTAGCCATTTGGAAACAGCAAGATCATGCATAAAGATCAACTCTCTGAGCTTTAATTCAAGAAGGAAAATACAAATCCACCAGAATTGTGAAGAAACCTCAGATCCCAGGGAGGAAAATACTAGCAAACAACTCCTGTGACAGTGTCCAGCTGATAAAAGTGAGTGAAGCCCTAGTACGTGCAAGAGGCAGAGAAATCTCCCTCTGTAACTTACCTTTCCACTGGGGATCTAAGCAAGCCAGGCCAAGGGAAAGTACTCTGTTTCTCCCAAGCACTGGAGTTAAATTGGGGAGAGTCTTGGAGATGCTGTGAGAAAAAGACACCAGGAAAAGATGCATACAGTTTTCCAGGCCCAGGCCCAAGAGCAGAATGTCGTTTTTAATCCAGGTGCATACAAAGCCATTCTTTGGCAATCTGGCAGCATGACCATCTAGGAATTTTAGTCTTGAACCAGAGATCAGAGTACCTGTTCTGAAGTAGGGTAGTGGCCTCCACAGACAGAACTGTGGAAAGCACATTAGCAATAGGTACTTGAAGTGTGCTCTACCCTGTCACAAGCCTGTGGTGGGAGAACTGCTACAACTGCAGTTTCTCCAGGGCAATGAGACAGGCAGCCAGGGCCAGCTTGGTGACCTGGAACCATTCTGCATGTGCCATTGCTGGATGCCCCAGCCTGCTTCCCTAAGATCAATATGCAGCAGGGTCCTCTCCATTCCACTCTCAGGCAGAAATTCAGGCATATGGGGCATCCGCTTGCCTAGACCAGCAGCCTGTGCTATCCCATCCTTTATGGACATTGACCATGGTGCAGCAAGACCTTCTCCACTCCACGCCCAGGAAGATCTCCAGGCATTTGGAGTTCTAGCTCATCTGGATCAGCCGCCTGAACTGCCCCACCCTTACTGCGCAGAGATCCTGGTGCAGGGAAGCCCTCTCTGCTACACCCAAGCAGATCTCCAGGCATTCAGAGCACCTGCTTGCCTGGTTTGGCAGCCTGAGTTGCCCCACCCCTCTTGTGCATAAATCCTGGTGCAAAGGGGCCCTTCCCTGCTACATGCCCAGGCAGATCTCCAGGCATTTAGAGTACTCAATCTCCTGGATTAGGAGTTTAGGCCACCCTCAACCCCACCATTCATGTGCAGAGAATTTGGGGCCAAGGAGGTTTCCCATCTCCACACCTAGGCACTCTTCTGAGTGCTTGGTGGCCACCCACTGTATTCTCCCTCAGTGCTGGTGCTTGTGCCAGCACTAGAGGACCTATAGGCAGACCTGCATGGTCCACCCTACCCATCATGGACCCCACTTCCCTGGGACTGAGCAGGGAGCTCAGACCACTGTGTATTTCATGAATCAGTCTACTGCCTGAAGCAAGAGAGACTTCTGCCAGTAAACAAGGATCAAGTACATAGTCAGACCCATTGGTCACAGGTGGCTCTTACCTATAAGTGCCATCTATTGGCTTGTAGGTTGAACTGTACAGCTGAATATAAAACCTGCCAAAGTGTGTGCATAGGACTACAGAAGCAAAGCCAAAAGTCCCTACCCAGCATTCTCTACTATTGCACATCCTGAGGAGAAGGAGAGAGGGAAAACAAACAAAACAATATCATAGGGAAAGAAAGAAAAAGAAAAAATCCTATTCACACAAAAATAATTTTTAAAATTAGAAGTGCCAGTGTCTCCAGATGAGAAAGAACCAGGGCAAGAATTCTGGCACCATGAAAAATACACATATAGTGACACCATCAAAGAATTGCACAACCTCTCCAACAATGGTCCCTAACCAAAATGGAGACTCAGAAATGACAGATAAAGAATTCCTCAGAAATGACAGATAAAGAATTCAAAGCATGGACTGTAAGGAAGCTCAACAAGATCCAAAATGAGCTTAAAAATCAACACAAAGAAACTTTTTTTTTTTTTTTGAGATGGAGTCTCACTCTGTCTCCCAGGCTGGAGTGCAGTGGCACAATCTTCGCTCACTGCAATCTCTGCCTCCTGGGTTCAAGTGATCCTCCTGCCTCAGCCCCCCTAGTGGCTGGGACTACAGGCACGTGCCACCATGCCGACTAATTTCTGTTTTGCCATGTTGGCCAAGCTGGTCTCAAACTCCTGAGCTCAGGTGATCCACCCGCCTCGGCCTCCCAAAGTGCTGGGATTACAGGTGTGAGCCACCACGCCCAGCCAACACAAAGAAACTTCTAAAGCAATCCAAGCAATGACGGAAGAGATAAACATCTTAAAAGGAAATCAATCAGAGCTTCTAGAATTCAAAACTCAAAGAATTTCAAAATACAATTGAAAGCTTTATCGGTAGACTGAACCAAGCAGAAGAAAGAACGTCAGAGCTTAAATATTGGTTTTTTAAAGACGAGGTTTCGCTATGTTGCCCAGGCTGGTCTCAAAGTCCTATGCTCGAGTGATCCCACCACCTCGGACTCCCAAAGTGCTGAGATTACAGGCATGAGTCACCTTGCCTAGCTGACAAGTATGCTTTTAATTGTATCCTTCTGGAATTTGTTTTTCTGCAAGCTGTGAAAAAGGCATCTAATTTTTACATTTTCCAAAAGTGTATCTGATTTTCTCAATAGCATTTACTCTGATTTTGAATATTCTAGTCTTCATTGCTATTCTTTATCAATTCCTGTGCCTGTTTAATTACTGTATCCCAGGCATGGTGGCATGTGCCTGTAGTCCCAGCTACTCAGGACGTTGAGGTGGGAGATCACTAAGGCCTAGGAGGTCAAGGCTACAGTGAGCTGTGATCATGCCACCACACTCCAACCTGGGTGACAGAGAGAGACCCTGTCTCAAAATAATAAATAAATAAATAAAGCAAATGTATATATATTTGCTGCCATATATATATGTGTGTGTGTATGTGTGTGTGTGTGTATATATGTGTATGTGTGCGTGTGTATGTGTGTGTGTGTATATATGTATATTTTTTTGCCAGGCATGGTGGCGCCCACCTGTAATCCCAGCACTTTGGGAGGCTGAGGAAGGAAGATTGCTTGAGCCCAGGAATTCGAAACCAGCTCTAGTAATGTGGCAAGACCCTGTCTCTACAAAAAATTAAAAAATTAGCCAGGCATGATGGCATGTGCCTGTGGTCCCAGCTTCTCAGAAGCCTAAAGTGGAGGGGCCGCTTGAGCTTGGGAGGTCAAAGCTGCAGTAAACCATGATCACACCACTGTACTCTAGCCTGGGTGACAGAGCAAGACCCCATCTCAAGAAAAGAAAAAAAAAGTTTTTTGAGCTCATCCAGACAAAAATAAAGAAAAAAGAACTTTTTAAAAATGAACAAAGTTTTCAACAAATATGGGATTATGTAAAGCAAACAAATCTATAAATTACTGGCATTCCTAAGAAAGAAGGAGAAAAGGTAAACAATCTGGAAAACACATTTGAGGAAATAATTAAAGAAAATTTCCCTAATCTTACTAGCAAGGAAGACATCTAGACACAAGAACTCTAGGGAACACCTGTGAGGTGCTATACAAAATGAAAATTACCAAGGCATATAGTCCATAAGACTGAACAAGGTCAATGCTAAAGAAAAAATCTGGAAGGAAGCTAGGGTAAAACATCAGACCGCATACAATGGGGAACCCCATCAAGATAACAGTGGACTTCTCAACAGAAAACTTACAAACAGGAGAGATTGGGGGCCTATTTTAGGCATTCTTAAAGAAAAGAAATTCCAACCAAGAATTTCATATCCTGCCAACTAAGCTTCATTAGCAAAGGGGAACCAAAATCTTTCCCAGACAAGCACGCACTAAGGAAATTTGTTACCACTAGTCCAGGCTTACAGGAGATCCTTAAGAGTTCTAAACATGGAAACAAAAAGAGCGATACCTGCTGTCACACAACCACACTTAAGTATATAGCCTATAAAGCAACTACACATTAGAAACTAAAAAGCAGCCAGCTAACAACTTCACGATAGGATCAAAACATCGCATATCAGTATTAATGTTGAATGTAAATAGTCTAAACACTCAACCTAAAAGGCAAAGAGTAGCAAGTTGAACAACAACAACAAAAAGACCCATCTGTCTGCCATCTTCAGGAGATCCATCTCAGATGTGACAACACCCATAGGCTCAAGGTAAAGGGCTGAAGACAGATCTACTATGCAAATAAAAAACAAAAAAGATCAGGGGTTACTATTCTTATATCAGATAAAAGAGACTTTAAACCAACAACAATAAAAAAAGGACAAAGAAGAGCGTGATATAATGATGAAGAGTTGAATTCAACAAGACTTAACTATCCTAAATACATAGGCACCCAACAATGGAACACACAGATTCCTAAAATAAGTACCTCTAGACCTACGAAAAGACTTAGACAACCTCACAATAACTGTGGGGGATTTTTTTTTTTTTTTTTTTTTGAAATGGAGCCTCGTTCTGTCACCCAGGCTGGAGTGCAGTGGCACAATCTCGGCTCACTGCAACCTCTGCCTCTGGGTTCAAGCAATTCTCCTGCCTCAGCCTCCTGAGTAATTGGGACTACAGGTATACACTACCATGCCCGGCTGATTTTTGTGTTTTTACTAGAGATGGGGTTTTACCATGTTGTCCAGGCTAGTCTTGAACTCCTGGCCACAAATGATCTGCCCACCTCAGCCTCCCAAAGTGCTAGAATTACAGACATAAGCCACTGCACTTGGCCATAGTGGGGGATTTCAATATCCCACTGACAGCATTAGATCACTGAGACAGAAAACTAACAAATAACATCTGGATTTAAACTCAACACTTGACTAGTCAGACCTAACAGACATGTACAGAATACTCCACCCATCAACCACGGGACATTCTCAGATTTTTCTCATCTACAGAAGAGAATGGAATCAGAACATATTCCAAGATTGACCACATGCTCAACCATAAAGCAAGTTTCAATAAATTCAAAAAAATGGAAGTCATACCAACTATACTCTCAGGTCACAATGGAATAAAAACAGGAATGAATACCAAGAAGATTGCTCAAAACCACATAATTACATGGAAATTTAAAAACTTGCTCCTGAATGAATGTTGGGTAAACAACAAAATTAAGGCAGAAATCAAAAAACTCTTTAAAATAAATGAGAACAGACACAACATACCAAAACCTCTGGTATGAAGCAAAAGCAGAGTTAATAGGCAAGTTTATAATGCTAAACACCTACCTCAAAAAGTTAGAAAAAAAAATAGCAATTACACCTGAAGGAACTAGAAAAAACAAGAACAAAGTAACCCCAAAGATAGCAGAAGAAAACAAATAACTAAAATCAGAGCAGAACTGAACAAAATTGAGAACCCAAAATCCACACAAAGAATCAACAAGATTGATGGACTGCTAGGTAGATTAAGAAAGAAAAAAGAGAAAAGATCCAAATATGTACAATCAGAAATGACAAAGGTGACATTATAGCCAATCCCACACAAATACGAAAGATCCTCAAACACCATTAGGAACACGTAGAAGATCTACAGCAAATTGGAAACTAGAAAATCTAGAGGAAATGGATAAATTCCTGAAAACACACAAGATCCCAAGATTGAATCAGGAAGAAACTGAAACCCTGAACAGACCAATATCAAGTTCAAAAATTGAATCAGTAATAAAAAACCTATCAACCAAAGCAAGTCCTGGACCAGACAGATTCACAGCCAAACTCTATTAGATGTACAAAGAAGAGCTGCCACCAATCTTACTGAAACTATTCCAAAACATCAAGGAAGAGGGACCCTTCCTTAACTCATTCTACTAAACCAATATCATCCTAGCACCAAAATCTTACAAAGACACAACAAAAAGAGAAAACTATAGGCCGATATCCCTGAACGCAGACCAAAATCCTCAACAAAATACTAGTAACCTGAATCCAGCAGCACATCAAAAGATAATTCATCACAGACTGTTGCCCCAACACCTTTTCCCCTTTGCTGGTTTTTCTTTCTATTTTTTCACTGTAATAATTCATAACTGTGAGTACAACTATATGCCCCTATTCAGTACTCATTCTACTCCACAGTACCTGAAACCATTAATTACCCCTGTTTTTAAAAAATGTTCTCCTTGGCCAACTATGACCTCCATTAGTCTTTTTTTGCCAGTTCCTCTTTCTCTGTCCTCCAAAGTGTTGGCAGTCTTTACAGTCTCATTTGCAGTGCTATTCTTTAATAGTAAAAGACGATAGTGCAAAAGAATTATCACGTTCTTATGTGCTAGGCACTGCAATAACGGTTTCATATCAACTCATTGATTCCTCATTACAATTCCATGAGATAAGTAATAACCCATTTCAAATACAGACAAAATTAGACAACAGTATAATGAATCTCCACAAATCCATCACTCAGCTTCAACAATTATCAACATTTTGCCAATCTTGACTCATCAATCTACATACATTTTACCCATTATAGTATTTTTAGAGAAAATTTCAGAAATTATCCACAAATACTTCAATATTTACCTTAAATATTCAAGGAGGTTCAATCGCTTGAACCTCTGCCTCCCAAGTTCAAGCGATTCTCTTGACAGTAAATATCTTCAATATTTACCTTTTGTTTTCCTGATAAACCCTATTTTATAGTTATACTGTATGACAGTAATGGGTCCACATCTCTGTTGAATGACAGATTCCCTGTTGCCAAAGTGTAAATTCCTTAGATTTCTTTGGCGTATGACTCTAAATATATAGGTCCAATCTGCCTTTCCTGCCTTACCATCCATCACTCTCTCCTGCACTATGCCTTACCCAGCTTAAAATATTTACTATTCCATGAATATGTCTTGCAATTTTTTGCTGTGCAAAACATTCCATAAGGCCCTGTTCCTATCTCACAGAATACTACGCATTCTGTTCACAATTATTGATAAAAGCTGATCCTGAAATCACAAAATGGAAGTAAATATAAACTGTACTGAATTTCATTATTCCTCTTGAGCATATATTTTATAAAAAGCACAAAAATAAAATCAAGTATCTGTTGTCCTTTTTTCTCAATTTTATGTCTTATTCTTTAATTCTTCATGTATGCTCTTAAGTTTTTTTGTTTGGTTGGTTTTTTTTGAGACAGAGTCTCCCTTTGTTGTCCACGAGATCTCGGCTCACTGCAACCCCCATCTCCCGAGTTCAAGCGATTCTCCTGCCTCAGCCTCCCGAGTAGCCAGGATCACAGGAGTGCACCACCAAGCCAGGCTAATTTTTGTACTTTTAGTAGAGAGAGCATTTCTCCATGTTGGCCAGGCTGATCTCGAACTCCTGGCCTCAAGTGAGCCACCTGCCTGGGCCTCCCAAAGTGCTGGGATTATAGGCAAGAGCTACCGTGCCTGGCCAGAAAGTTAATATTTTGATGACTCTAACAAATACATAACATGGCATTTTGGCAATGGAACAGAACACTATGTCTCAAAACCTTGCTTTGGTCTCTAAAATTATAAAACTAAAGTAAGTTCTACTGTAGAAGTGTATGCAGAAAAAACAAAGTCCTCAAAAAATGAAAAGACAATAAAGTATCATTCTGAAAATCATCTAGCATAAAATTTAGTTATACTTCCTGCCTATCATGCTTCTCTTAAACTGCAAAATTTTAGTATGTAGTCATAACAGAAAGGGTATTTTATAATCACCCCAGTTTCTCCTTCTAAATGTTTTACTACAAAATAATACAGGGAACAAAAAGATTAAGCTTTGCCAATTTTGAAAAACTTTTATAGGAAGAACTGTTTCATCATTTACTTATATATCTAAGTGCTGGCCAGGCACGGTGGCTCATGTCTGTAATCCCAGCACTTTGGGAGGCTGAGGCAGAAGCATCGATTGAGCTCCAGAGTTCGAGACCCGCCTGGGTAACATAGAGATACCCCATCTCTACAAAAAGTGGAAAAAAAAAATTAGCCAGGTGTGGTGCTATGCACCTGTAGTCCCAGCTACTCAGGAGGCTGAGGGAGGACGGTAGCCTAAGCTCACGAGTTCGAGACTATAGTGAGCTATAATCATGCCACTGGACTCCAGCCTGGATGACAGAGTGAGACTCAATCTCGTTCATTCACTCACAAATAAATAAATAAATAACTATATTCACTGTCTAGTTCAGATATTATTTGAGCTATTCTGTGTTTTACTTATTAGTATAAATCATAAACGACTAAAGACAAACTTTAATAAGTCATCTTTATTTTTTCCTTTAACCACTAATATCTATGAAAAACCTATAGAAAATTTTACTTATTATGACTGAAATAAGATCACTTCTTAGCCTTTTGGCTAAGATCAAGTGTAGTAGGACCATAATATTAGCACAAATAAAGGATATATAGAAACGCATTTATTTTTGTATCATTTTAAGGATGTGGTATCCCTAAATGATTATATTTTACAAACACTAAATAACTGGTTCCATAAAATATCACTGACGCAGGATGAAATTCAGTTAGTAATACTGTCTTTCCATATTTTTTTAAGTTTAAGAGTACAGATACAAGCTATTAAGAGATATATAGATACATGTTGCTAATAAATGCTGTAATAACCTAAGATTCTAGAATAGAGATATTACCAAAATATACAATCTCTGAATACCACATTAGCCCCCAAAATAATGAAATTAAAGGAGTCTGATGAGATAAAATGAGCTCTAACATTCTTTAGAGTAGTGTGAGTTAGGTTCCTCATTTTGTACAGCTTGTCAAAACACTGCTAAGAGTAATCACAAAATGGCCTCTCCCACAGAATCCAAAAACTGTTTTTTGTAGGAAAGAGAATTAAGAACTAAGTATGAGGTTCCAGGTACTTTTCCTTAACTCTAAAATAAAACTCTAATTACTTGCTGGATAAACCATGTGAAGCCACATGGAAATAGAGAAACCCCGAGACTACATAGAGAAGTCTGGTTATCTTGGTGGCCTAGCTGAAGACAGTCTTCCAGCCAACCCTGCCAAGATGCCAGACATACAAGTAAACTCTCTTGGACATTCCTACCAGAATGTCTTGGACACTGACCCCACAGCTGACTGTTGCCACAGGTAACCTCACACATCCCAGAATAACTGGCTACCCAGCTGACCCAGTCAAGTCACAAAAGCATAAGAGATAAAATGTTTATTAGTTTAATCCACAAATTTGGAGTACTTCATTGTGTAGGAAGATATAATCAAAACAGTGATGTTTAATATTTTAAGGGTACCATCATTCCTGTCTCAATAATGTTTTCAAGCCACAAACTTTGCATCAATTTCATACTTTAACCACAAACATACAATAATTTTAATGAGCACAGTCCACGCGCTGATCCTCAAACACTAGTATTGGAAATAAGATAGTGGGAGGTGGCCAAGACCACAAATATTACTAAAATAAATAAATAGCACGCAATATCACAAATTACAACTATTCATTTATAAGATTCCTCATTTATTCCAGTTCTAACTTTTCAACAATTTTAAATCAAAATTTAAAAAATAAACCACAAGTAGAAACTATTCCCACGTAAGCATTCATGAATGTATTTCAAAATCAGAAATATAAGAAAAATTACCTATAAGCAGTGGTTCTCAACCAGGGGTCATTTTGTCCCCAAGACAAATTCAGCAATGTCTGAAGTCCTCTTTTGTTGTCACACTAAGGGACAGAGGGTTGCTGGCATCTAGTAGGTAGAAGCCATATACTCTGCTAAACATCTCACATTGCACAAGACTGTCTCCCACAATAAAGAATTATCTGGCCCAAAATGCCAACAGTGCCAAGAATGAGAAACCACAGCTAGGAGGCATTAAAATGTAAAGATACTGTTTCCTTATAATCATTACCTTAAAACTAATAAAACTGAATGATTCTACTGGCAAAACTGATTATTAGAACTCTAAACAATTTTCTTTTTGAATGAAAAAAGTGATAATTTTGGTATTTTTCTATACAAACAAAAACATACTGCATCAAATATTAAGCTACAGAAACATACAAGAAAAGCTGATAATATTAATTACATGAAAAAATATGCAGAAAGAAGTGTTTGCAAATACATTATTGGGAAAGATTATTTCTAACTGTATTATAACTGCTAATTAAACTATGTTTCATTAATATTAATTGTAATAAACATAAAATCTAGTACATAAAATTAGTATTCTACACTAACAACTTGTTTAAATTCATATTTCAATAAATTATGATTAGAGAAATATCTAATTGGATTATTTGAAAATATTTTCCATTGTGCTTTTAGAAACAATTCATCTAATTATATGGTTCCACAGGACTAGGCCTGTGAATAAGTCAATGTACTTTTTGTCAAATACCTTAAAGAAAAAAATATTTAAAAGCCTGAATAGGCTTTTTCAAGATAAGCTTTGCAGCTATGATATTTGCATTTCCTGTCCTTTCAGAAGAAACACTTTAATATGCTGAGACAGACAAGAGTTTGCTACAGTTTTGTAAAGGAAAGAATCATTGTGGCTACTGTAAAAGATTAAAAGATGAACCACTAAGAGTTGTTATATCAAACAAACATACAAGGTAGTTCCTTCCTACATTAGAAAAGGTAACAATAAACTTTTCATTACCTTCACATTTGGCTTCTTTGTTGAAACTCCTCTGTACCAACCTAAAACAAAGCATAAGAGAATATTAAAATCACAATGTCATGTTCAATAAGAGACACAATAGTATTTTTTGAAAAAAATAGATAAATGCACATCTTTCCTTAAAACACCCACTGTGGCTTTATTAGGATCTAGAGTTGTCATAGCAGCTTACTCCAAAAGGAACAGTCATATGGTGAATAAAACATTTCTAATTTTCATTACAAGGCATAAAGCCCTTTCAACTGAGTAAAATGCAATTAGAAAAGACTTCAGAGGACATGTAATTCAACAGCACAAAAATTCCTACATAAAGGTGTTGGGGCAGAGAAATGCTAAAATTGTATCACTTTTTTCATGGCAGATAGGGAGTACAGCCCAGACTTTCTGTTTCGCAGTCTCATTCAATCTCCCATACAGTATACTACACTACTCTCATTTCTTTGCCTTCCAGCTGCTAAAGTCAACATCCTTGCTAGTGCAGATCACCTTCTTGATTTATTTCCTTTCAGCATTCACATTCAGCAATACTAATAAAAGTTTCAATTACACAACAAAAAACAATTTTCAGAAAAAAGAAAATTTTACTGCCAACTCTTCTCAATTTCAATATATTATTTTCAGAGGTTTGCTATAGTTTCTTTATTTGGGTTTAAAAGGAAGCAGCTCCAATGGGTAGGAGAGGAAGCCAAGAGTTGTATTTAAAGAAGGAAGATAAAGAAGAGATTGCTGATGATAGCTAAATTAATTGAGAGGTTATCGTTGAGAGTTTGTCCTACGTATTAACTTTTAAAATAACAAAGCTATGAAAAAAAAGAATCAACTTTTTTCACCTGAAAACATAACAAACAACAAAAGAGATGAGCCTTGCTCCTACTTAGAACAATAGCTGAAAAAATAAATTTCATTAACTCATTTTATATCTTGAGTCTCATTTCTCCATTTATTTTTGAAAAATGGTGATAACTTACCAATGTGACACTTTACAGTATTTTAAGAAACGTAACAGAAAATGACATCATGAGGTGTGGCAGAGTAAGTCTCTTCAAAGAGCCTCTCCTCCATAAAAGCAATGAGAACACTATGAAGCTAAAGTAATCAAGACAGTATGATATTGGTGAAAGATTAGGCAAACAGAGAACTGAATAGAGAATCCAGAAATAGACCCACATAAATACAATCAACTGATCTTTGACAAGGGAGCAAAAGCAATAAAATGGAAAAAAAAGTTTTCAACAAATGGTGCTGGAACAACTGGACATCCATATGCAAAGAAAATGAATCTACATATAGATCTTACTCTAGTCACAAAAATAAACTCAAAATGGATCGTAGACCTTAACATAAAATGCAAAACTATAAAACTCCAACAACACAGGAGAAAATCTAAGTAACCTTGAGTACAGCAATGACTTTTTAACTACAACACCAAAAGCATGATCCATGAAAGAAATAATTGATACACAGAGCTTCATTAAAATTAAAAACTCCTCTGTGAAAGGCATTGTTAAGAGAACAAAATGACAAGCCACAAACTGGGAGAAAATACTTACAAAAGACATATCTGATAAAGGAATGTTATCCAAAATATACAAAGAACTCTTAAAACTCAATAAGAAAATAAACAGCCCGGCCAGGCACAGTGGCTCACACCTGTAATCCCAGCACTTTGGGAGGCTGAGGTGGGTGGATCATGAGGTCAGGAGTTTGAGACTAGCCTGACCAACATGGTGAAACCCCATCTCTACTAAAAATACAAAAATTAGCCAGGCATGGTGGCGCACACCTGTAATCCCAGCTACTCAGGAGGCTGAGGCAGGAGAATTGCTTGAACCCAGGAGGCAGAGGTTGCAGTGAGCTGAGATGGTGCCACTGCACTCCAGCCTGGGCAACAGAGTGATACTCCATCTCAAAAAAAGAAGAGGAGAGGAGAGAGGAGGGGAGGGGAGAGGAGGGGAGGGGAGGGGAGGGGAGGGGAGAGGAGGGGAGGGGAGGGGAGGGGAGAAAACAGCCCAATTAAAAAATATGCAAAACATCTAAACAGACACTTCACCAAAGAAGATACAGAGATGACAAATAAGAATATGAGAAGCTGCTCAACATCATTATGTGATTAAGCAACTGCAAATTAAAACAACAATGAGATACTACTGCATGCCTTATCACAATGGCCAAAATCCAGAACACTGTCCCGAACCAAATGCTGATGAAGATGTAAAGCAAAAGGAACTCTCATTCACTCTTGATGGAAATCCAAAATGGTACAAAGGCACTCTGGAAGACAGTTTGGCAGTTTCTAACAAAACTAAACATATTGTTACCATACGATTGAGTAATCCATTCCTTATATTTACCCAAATGAGTTGAAAACTTACATCCACACAAAAAAACTACAAATTGATGTTTACAGCAGCTTTATCATACTTTCTGCCAAAACTCAAAAGCATCTAAGATGTCACTCTTCAGCAGATGAGTGAATAAAACTGTGGCACATCCAATCAATGGAATGTTATTCAGAGACAAAAAGAAATGAGCTAACAAGCCATGAGAAGACACTGAAGGAATCTTAAATGCATACTGTGGATACATTTAACACCATATAATGATAATGCAAATGTGACACCATGCTCTCTTGTAGTCAACCCTCCTCCCCAACCTCTTGCCCCAGCCCTGACAATCACTGATCTAAGTAGTTTCAAAACCACATTATCATCTCTAAGGGAGGCCACCATTATCAGGTGCACATGAGAATTCTGCTCAGTGAACTTCAGCCATCACCTTTTCTTAAAACTGCAACTCTGCTACAAGCTTTGCCAAATGTATCCGTTCCATGACTAAGAAGAATTGAAGACAGTAAGGAAAAGAGAAAGGGAAGAACAACCCATTATTTTTGTTTCTTACATATGAACCAAAAAAGTTCATAAGCTCTCAAAGAAACAACTAAAATATCTCCCAAATCATTATGAATCAACAGGAAATATATGCTTTTAATGAACCAGTACACTGAAGTATCTTCCAAATGTCAATTTACCTACTGTCCAAGAACTCTGGAAAATCTACCTCTGCAATTATATTCTCCCCTTTCAGTTTCATCATTAATATCTTGACTTTACAAAATTTCAGAATACTAGCAAAGAAAGTGAAACTCCCCTTGATGTTCAGATTGAGTGTTCATCAATTTCAATGTCATCATATGCATTTAACTGAAGAACACATCAGAGTCTCATTTGGTGAGTAAAACATCTGCTGGTTTGATTACTACTAGGAACTTAAGGTTAAGGCAAAGTTTTATACTCTAATATTTTCAGATATAAATTTTTGTAGAAAATTAAAGAAAGGAAGGCATTCTTACAACACTCAAGTTTATAAAGACTTACGTCTAACTTTAACTTAAGTCAGAAAAATATAACTGAATTCTATAAAATGCTGTTGTATTGCCTCCAAAAGTTCTCTATTGGTCTTCTATCCCTTCTACCTATAAAAACCAGCTCTTCCCTTCCTCAGTAACTTGCTGCAACTCTCCAACTTCTAAGCTAGGGACATGTTACTCAGGGCATGATTGCAAGAAACACAGACTTTTTCCACTTTACCCAAATGAATGGAAATGAAAGAATTATTGGAAATGGTTTGGGTATTAACTTCAAATTCCAAAAGAAAAGTTTAACTTTTTGAGCCTTAGTTACTCCTCTGCTCTAAGCTCTCCAAAAGCATCCCAGATCAAAATAAAATTCAAAGTCTTTATTAGAGCCTCTGCTGATCTCAACTTCCACCACTCTCTCTGCTTCTCCCCATCCCATCCATCCACTGCAGCCATAATAGTCTCTCTGCAATTCCTTCAACTTACTAAGCAGGCTCCCGCCTCAGCACCTTTATACTTTTTGCACCATATTTCTGGACTGTTCTTCCCCTCCCCAAACCCCTTCCACCCAGAGTATCTCAGGATTGCTTCCTCATATCCATCTGTTCTCTGCCCAAATGTTATCTTCTCAGAAAGGCCATCTCCAATCATCCTATATAAATACACAGAAGAGAGAAGTTTTCCCGCACCCACTTCCCCACTAATATGGCCTGGCTCTCTGTCCCCATCTAAATCTCATCTTGAATTGTAATCTCAATTCTAATCCCCACATGCTGAGGGAGGGACCCAGTGGGAGGTAACTGAATCTGGGGGCGGTTACCCCCATGCTGTTCTCATAATAGTGAGTTCCCACAAGATCTGAAGGTTTTATAAGGAGCTTTCTCCCCTTTGTTCAGCACTTCTCTCATCTGCCACCATGTGAAGAAGGACGTGTTTGCTTCCCCTTCCACCATGACTGTAAGTTTCCTGAGGCCTCCCCAGTCATGCAGAACTGTGAGTCAATTAAATCTCTTTTCTTTATAAATTACCCAGTCTTGGGTATTTCTTCATAGCAGCATGAGAACAGACTAATACACTAAATTGGTACTGCAGAGTGTAGGGTGCTGCTATAAGGATACCCAAAAATGTGGAAGCAACTTTGGAACTGGATAACAGGCAGAGGCTGAAACAGTTTGAAGGGCTCAGAAGAAGACAGGAAAATGTGGAAAAGTCTGGAACTTCCTAGAGACTGAGGGCTCAGAAGACAGAAAGATGTGGGAAAGTTTGGAACTTCCTAGAGACTTGTTAAATGATTTTGACCAAAATGCTGATAGTGATATTGACAATGAAGTCCAGGCTGAGGTGGTCTCAGATGGAGAAGGGGAACTTGTTGGGAATTGGAATAAAGGTGACTCTTGCTATAGTTTAGCAAAGAGACTGGTGGCATTTTGCCCCTGCCCTAGAGAGCTGTGAAACTTTGAACTTGAAAGAGATGATTTAGGGTATCTGGCGGAAGACATTTCTAAAGAGCAAAGCATTTTCAAGAGGTGACATAGCATAAAAGTTTGGAAAATCTGCAGCCTGACAATGTGGTAGAAAACAAAAACCCATTTTCTGGGGAGAAATTCAAGCCTGCTGCAGAAATTTGCATAAGTAATGAGGAGCCAGATGTTAATCACCAAGACAATGAGGAAAGTGTCTCTGGGGCATGTCAGAGACCTTCGTGGCAGCCCCTCTCATCACAGGCCCAGACGCCTAGGAGGGAAAAATGGTTTCCTGGGCAAGGTCCAGGGCCCCACTGCTGTGTGCAGCCTAAGGACTTGGTGCCCTGTGTCCCAGCTTCTTCAGCTCCAGCCATGGCTAAAGGTATACTTCAGGCTGTTGCTTCAGAGGGTGAAAGGTACAGCTCAGGCTGCTGCTTCAGAGGGTGGAAGCTCCATGCCTTGGCAGCTTCTACATGGTATTGGCCCTACACAGAAGACAAGAATTGAGGTTTAGGAACCTCCGCCTAGATTTCAGAGGATGTACGAAAATGCCTGGGTGTCCAGGCAGAAGTCTGCTGCAGGGGCAGAGCCCTCATGGAGAACCTCTGCTAGGGCAGTGCAGAAGGGAAAGGTTGGGTAAGAGCCCCCACATGGAGTCCCCCCCGGGGCACTGCTTAGTGGAGCTGTCAGAAGACAGCCACCGTCCTCCAGAATGGGATCCCCAGGAATTAGAAGTAATAGATCCCTCTCAAAATATAAGGCTCTTTTCTGTTTTGCATTGTTTTATCTGATTTTTTTACTTTTGGGTGTATCAGAAATTCACATTATGAGAGAATTTTGGTGTGTAATAAACAAAATATACTTTGGTAGGAAATATATTTTTAGCAATGGCTATTGGCAGTTATGGGGGGATACTTGGCTCTTTGCATGTTTGGATAAGAGAAGCAAGCTCTTGGGCCACCTGGAAGGAATGAAGATATTCCTCTCCCACCACTGAGAGATAAGATCTCATGGGGTTTGGCTAATCACAGAATGAGCTGATTGGCTTTGGGTTGCTTTGCAATGAAATGCACAGTAAAATCATTGCACTGTCTTGTTCCATAAGGTTTCCCTTTTGAAGATCCAGAATCTGCTACAAAAATGGAACCCTTAATTTTGGGTTTTGTTAATCTGTTTTGCCTTCCAGTTGTGCCTGCTTATTAGGCCCTAAAAACTGCATACTTTAAAGAGAAACCTAAAAACTGGCTAATAAAAAATCTTACAAGTACTGGTTCTTCTTCTGTCTGTGTATTTATATGTGTTCTATGTAGGATATGAGGCTTTAATACAGGCTGCCCTAAGGAATTTTGTCATCCATGAACAATTGTTGTCTTGTTTTGATCCTCTTCAAAAGATGGTTTATAGTCAGCTATATAACTTTGACAGGTGCTCTCGAATGGAAGTTTCTGATAAGTTTGAAGACTGTGATTTTAATTAATTGGTTTAAAGGTAATAAGCACTTATATCAAATATTTTGTCAGAAAAGTAAAAAGTGCAATGCCTTTTAGTTCATGTGACTTAAGTAATCTTTGGGAAATAAAAACAGTTTTGCATGCAAGGTGTGTAAAGAAAGTGACAGGTGATTTGGTAAAAGATCATAAAAAGGCATGTGAATGTGAGGTGATTTTGCCTAGATTAAAGGGTTAAATAATTGTTTTAAGTTAGACAGGATATAGCTGAAGGTTTGTGCAAGTTGTGAAACATTTGTGAAAAATTAATCTTGTAAAAAAAGTCTGTGTGTGAACAATGGAATAAAAGTACAACAGGGTTTTCTCAGAGCACTAATCTGCCTTCTGTAACAAAAATTTTAAATGGTTATAAAAAAGGTTTATGAGAATCTACCTTATGGGCAAAGTGATTAAGACTGAATTGAATTGTCTATAAGGTTTTAAGAATTGGGTGTGACATTAATAGTACACTAATGCAATAATGAAATATGGCTTTCTGTCTTGAACAAGATTTTCATGTTACATTTAATAAAAAGAAGGATTTTTGTTTGCCCCTTTTGAATAACCACAGGAAAAAGAAGGGAAAGAAAAAAGACACTTTGGAAAGCTAAGTCTTCCCTCTTAGTTTTTGCCTTTTTTAAATGTTTGAGTTACCATTTTGGCTAAATGAATGACTTATAGTGACATGGAACTCTATTTTCTAATATGAAGTGTCTAAAAACTTTGATATTTGACAAACTTTCCAAAATCAAATTATAAAGTATGACTTTCTCTGACTTAATTAATATTTTAGCTATTAGGTCACCTAAGGTCCAAAAATGACATATTCAGCTTATTTGGTATACAAATCATACGGGAAGCACTGTCAAATATGAAATGGTGTTTGGCTTTCTTTGGGCTGTATTTGTGTAAATATTATTGGTATGTGTTCTAAAATTATGAAAAACTCCTATAATTCTGATATGATTTAGTGTGTGTTATTAATAATTATAACTTGTTATGTAAAATTGTTGTATGCCACAGAAGTAACTAAAATTAATAGTCAATTGTGGCTTTAATAGGGGCTTCCCTAAACAATTTGGTCATCCACAAACAATTGTTTTCTTGTTTAGATCCTCTTCAAAAACAATTATTTTCTTGTTTTGATCCCTTGAAAAAACCTCTTCAAGGTTTAAAATCAGCTATAGAACTTTGACAGGTGCTCTTGAATGCAGGTTTCTGGTAAGTTTGGAGACTGTGACATCAGAATGCAGGAAAAACTTTCAGGACTCTCCTGGAGAGCTGAAATGTTCATGAATATCAAGCAGAAGAGGAGTTAACTGCATGGATTAAACTAATAAAAGTTCAAAGTAATCTTTTTGACTTTGCTTAAAATGTTGCTGATCCCTTGTTTTGTTTTACAGAGTCAAGAAAACTTTTCTTTTGAGCTACTTACAGCTTTTAACAATTAAGTGAAGTATACTCCTGTGAAAAAAATTTGAAGCATATTTGTCTCTCTCTACCTGATTTCTCCAGAATTTGGAAACTATTTGAGTATTCTTAATTTATGGCAATATAGTTATTTGCATAAGTGCAGTAAGAATGTTCTCTTTTGCAACAGGACACAATTGGAGAAATTGGTTATTTTACCAAGGTTTTGACTGGAATGGTGTGCTTTCCTTTAAGGAATCAAACTTGACGTGTAGAGCAATAAAAGCCTCATGGGAAAACTGACCTCATATCTTGTCTACACAGTCCCTGTACAAGATTCCAGACCTGTGGTAGGTAAAGAATGTCAATTCCTGAAAGGCCCAGGGGCCTCAAATAGTCTTGAGACCCCAAGAGGAGATGAGTTTACCCAATTCATAGGTATTTGAGGGTACAAACCCATGGCTGGGCTTGGCTTTTAAAAAAAGTTTTATCTGAGATTCCTTATGGAACACAGTTCCATCAAAGCCTATTTAAAAAGCCTATGTGAAAAATAATTATTCTTGCTGTACTTTAAACAAATAATCAGGCCAAGAATAAGAGTAAGGTTTATTTTTGCAAACAAATTGGTCCTATTATGATTTGTCTTTAGTAAAAATGGAAGACTAAAGAGAAAAAAATATGTTTCAAGAACTATGGTATGCCTGTTATTAGATTCTACTCTCATCAGTTGTTTCGAAGTTTTATCTGCATTTTAGATTAACCCTGCTTATCCTGTGAACCAACCAGTGATCTCTGACTGCTGCTCAGAAGAAACAGAGGGATGAGTAATGCAAAACTCTGTATCAATATTCTAATTCTGGGCACATATTGGGATCAGCTAGCAGCCCCATATCAGCTTGGTTCCAACAACTGCCCAGTTCATGAAAAGCTTTCTTATTTAGTTTACTTGGGATAATTTTACTTACTTTGCTTTACTGTGGTGGAATATATTGCTGTTATACTCCTTGTATAGGAATGCAGGATAAGCTTACTAAATGTTTTCTTAAATTGAAGACTTATTAATCTTCCAGATATCACCTTTGTTGAAACTCAGAGCTATGAACGGCCCTCGACAAACCAATGCTTTCTGACTGAGCTCCTCTCAAACCTGAATACAAGAGACCCTGATAGTTAGGCAGGAATATCACCACCCCTATTCAGCCTGAAGAAGTTTCAGAAGCTAGATCTTCATCCCTCTACTAACCTTAGGATTAAGAGTTCCCTTGTAAAAGGGAGAAGAAAAATATGTCAGAGGCGTTTGAATAAAAGCAACTCCATCTTGAATAGGGGCTAGGTAAAATAAGGCTGAGACCTACTGGGCTGCATTCCCAGGAGTTTAGGAATTCTAAGTCACAGGATGAGACAAGAAGTCAGCACAAGATACAGGTCACAAAGACCTTGCTAATAAAACAGGTTGCACTTTTCTTCTAAATTTGTTTAAGCTCCTTGTAGATTCTGGATATTAGACCTTTGTCAGATGAATAGATTGCAAAAATTTTCTCCTATTCTGCAGGCTGCCTGTTCACTCTGATGATAGTTTCTTTTGCTGTACAGAAGCTCTTTAGTTTAATTAGATCCCATTTGTCAATTTTGGCTTTTGTTGCCATTGCTTTTGGTGTTTTAGTCATGAAGTCTTTGCCCATGTCTATGTCCTGAATGGTACTACCTAGGTTTTCTTCTAGGATTTTTATGGTTTTAGTTCTTACGTTTAAGTCTTTAATCCGTCTTGAGCTAATTTTTGTATAAGGTGTAAAGAAGGGGTCCAGTTTCTACTTTCTGCATATGGCTAGCCAGTTTTCCCAACACCATTTATTAAATAGGGAATCCTTTCCCCATTACTTGTTTTTGTCAGGTTTGTTGAAACAATCTCATCAAAAAGTGGGCAAAGGATATGAACAGACACTTCTCAAAAGAAGACATTTATGTGGCCAACAAACATATGAAAAAAAGCTCATCAACACTGGTCATTAGAGAAATGCAAATCAAAACCACAATGAGATACCATGTCACACCAGTTAGAATGGCGATCATTAAAAAGTCAGGGAACAACAGATGCTAGAGAGGATGTGGAGAAATAGGAATGCTTTTACACTGTTGGTGGGAGTATAAATTAGTCTGACCATTGTAGAAGACAGTGTGGTAATTCCTCAAAGATCTAGAACCGGAAATACCATTTGACCTAGCAATCCCATTACTGAGTATATACCCAAAGGATTATAAATCATTCTACTATAAAGATGCATGCACACATATGTTTATTGCAGCACTATTCACAATAGCAAAGACTTGGAACCAACCCAAATGCCCATCAATGATAAACTGGATAAAGAAAATGTAGTACATATACAACATGGAATACTATGCAGCCCTATAAAAGGATGAGTTCACACCCTTTGCAGGGACACAGATGAAGCTGGAAACCATTATTCTCAGCAAACTAACACAGAAACAGAAAAACCAAACACCACATGTTCTCACTCACAAGTGGCAGATGAACAATGAGAACACATGGACATAGGGAGGGGAACATCACACACCAGGGCATGTCAGAGGGTGGGGGACTAGGGAAGGGATAGCATTAGGAAAAATACCTAATGTAGATGACGGGTTGATGGGTGCAGCAAACCACTATGGCACATGTATACCTACGTAATAATTCTGCACATGTATCCCAGAATTTAAAGTATAATTTTAAAAAATAAAAAAAATTAAAAATAAATAAATAAATAAATAAATAAATAAATAAATAAATAAAACAGGTTGCAGTAAAGAAGCCAGCCAAAACCCACCAAAACCAAGATGGCAATGAAAATGACCTCTGGTTGTCCTCATTGCTCATTATATGCTAATTATAATGCATTAGTATGCTAAAAGACATGCCCACCAGTGCCATGACAGTGTACAAATGTCATGGCAATGTCAGGAAGTTATGCTATATGGTTTAAAAAGGGGAGGAACCCTCAGTTCCAGGAATTGCCCACCCCTTTCCTAGAAAACTCTTGAATAATCTACCCCTTGTTTAGCATATAATCAAGAAATAACCATAAAAATAGCCAACCAGGAGGGCTGCTCTGCCTGTGGAGTAGCCATTCTTTCATTCCTCTATTTTCCTAATAAACTTGCTTTCACTTTAAAAAAATAAAAATAATACGCATTCTTATTTAGACTGTGAAATGTCCTTGCCAGTCACCCAATGCAAGTGAAGTTATACTATCCCAAAGAGCCAACAGTACCACTACAATTGGTACTGACAGAGAAGCTGCAGAACAGTGTCGGCAGTGTGAACCCAAAAGAATGAAGCCTCTATACAGATCAGGCCATGTGACAGTCAACAATCAGCAACCCTTTACAAAGATTCCAGGTGCAAACCAATCAAACCAGATCAAAAGCATCAAATGCAGTCCAACAAAAAAATACCCCTTTGATAAGAAGTTTCAAAGGTGAAAGTTTTTTATTCCAAAGGTGTAACATATATTCCTCACCGATGAATGGAAAAAATGAAAATTTATTTATACCCAATACCTGGCTAATAGCTGCACAGGAAGTAGAGACAGGTAGAAGATAAGCACAATTTCTCTTCCATTCCATACCATGATTAAAAGTAGTTTAATAACAAATCATGGTTCTTTGTAAAGACTTGCATGAGGACCCACTTTAGACATCATTTAAGCAACCAATTGTAAATTCAAGAGCCAAAAACAAAATCTACACCCTTTTAAAAATACTGATTTTTTTCACTTTGGTGCATCAATAAAAATATATGGAGTTCACCCAATTATGGATCCCTTTTCCAGTTATATAACTAATAATAGGCAGGAAACAATGTGCCAATCACTTGTAAAAATAAGAAACTTATAAGATAATTCAGCCTCAAAACAGAAAAATGTAATTATTCAAAAGGTCTACATTCAAAATCCTCTTTCCATTATTTGCACTGAAAAATTTACACAATAATCATCTGCATTTATTTGCACAGTTTAGTTATATTAAATCTTCATTTGTGAGCTGTAAATTTAAAGATAATAATCACCAATAAATAAATGTACATTAAAAAACTGAGAATTTTTACTTGCAAATGAGTCATTATTTCATTAAAATTAGTCACTCTGGAGGGCCATAAGCGAATTTCAATAATACTGCCACTGATCAAGATATTTTTAAACTCTTTTGGAATTAAAATACTATATATTTGTGAACTTCTGGTTCTAGTCCTGACAAAAACTTTGCTTTGGACAAAATACATGAAACAGCTGTGTAAGGGCATTAGAAAGCAACTATCCTCGACAGAACTTCAGACACTATAATCTCCAAGAGAAGGAAAACCACATCAAGGTGAGCTCCTCATTCACCTGACTTTTTTTTTCTGAGGGCATACCAGCAGAAAATGATAGTTCCATTGAAATAAGAGAAAAATGTTGACATTGAGGGCTACCAAAGCAACTGAGCCTTAGGGATAAAAATCTCAGAAAGAAGTGAATTACAGTAAATCCAAAATTTTATATTAATCTCCACTCCTGAGATTTCCCAGTTCCCAAAATGGCATACAGGATTCCAAGAAACCCCACAAAAAGCAGCAGCTGAGAGGCTGACAAGCTGAGCAGAGCCACATTACATTTAGGAGAAATCAATAACACAGTGACTTTTCAAAGAAATTATGCAAGTCAAATATTAACTAAATGAAACCTTTAAAATGCTAAAAGAAAACACCCATGAACCTAAAATTCTATACTGAGGAAAAATATCATTCAAAAATGATGACAAATTTAAGAGATTCATATAAGCAGAAACTGAAACAATGCGCAGCAAACCAGCGCTGAAAGAAATACTACTAAAAGATGTATCTAAATGGCAAATAAATAAATAAATAAATAAATCCCAGATAGAACCATGTAAAAGCATGGTAAAGAGATAATTGAAAAGGGTAAAAGGGTCCAGGCGCGGTGGCTCACACCTGTAATCCCAGCACTCTAGGAGGCCAAGGCAGACAGATCACAAGGAGAGGAGTTCGAGACCAGTCTGACCAACATGGTGAAACCCCGTCTCTACTAAAAATACAAAAATTAGCTGGGCATGGTGGCACATGCCTGTAATCCCACCTACTCAGGAGGCTGAGGCAGGAGAATCACTTTAATCCAGGAGGCAGAGGTTGCAGTAAGCCGAGATGGCACCATTGCACTCCAGCCTGGGCGACAGAGTGAGACTCCGTCTCAATAAAAAATAAAAGAAAAGGGTAAAAGGTTGGGCGCCATGGCTCACACCTGTAATCCCAGCACTTTGGGGGGCCAAGGCGGGCAGATCACCTGAGGTCAGGAGTTTGAGACCAGCCTGGACAACGTGGTGAAACCCCATCTCTACTAAAAATATGAAAATTAGCTGGGCGTGGTGGTGGGTACCTGTAATCCCAGCTACTCAGGAGGCTGAGGCATGAGAATTTCTTGAACCCAGGAGGCAGAGTTTGCAGTGAGCCAAGATCATGCCACTGTACTCCAGCCTGGGTGACATAGTGAGACTTTGTCTCAAAAAAAGAAAAAAGAAAAGAAAAGGGTAAAAAATGTGGGCAAACGAATGAATGTAGACAGAAGTAAAATATAGACCATAGTTGCATAAAAGACAAGAGGGACAAATGTAGTTAAATCATTGTAAAGTTCATGCGATCTGGGGAGTGGTAAAAGAACAAATTTAAGGTAGACTCTAATAAGAGTGCATGTTTTCTGGCACGTGTGGTGGCTCACACCTGTAATCCCAGCACTTTGGGAGGCCGAGGTGGGTGGATCAATTGAGGTCCGGAGTTCGAGGCCAGCCTGGCCAATATGATGAAACCTTGTCTCTGCTAAAAATACAAAAATTAGCCAGGCATGGTGGCGCACAACTGTAGTCCCAGCTATTCAGGAAGCTGAGGCCATGGAGGCAGAAGCTGCAGTGAGCCGAGATCGCACCACTGCACTCCAGCCTAGGGGACAGAGCAAGACTCCATCTCAAAAAAAAAAAAAGAGTGCATGTTTCAAACTCTAGGATAATCACTAAGGGAAAAGCAAAACACTGTAAAACCAACAAGCTAATAGAGGAGCCTAAATGAAATCATTAAAATGCTGGGTTAATTCAAGGAAAATAAGAAAGGATAAGTTGAGAAACTAAGGAACAAAAAGAAAACAAGGACCAAGATGATACACCTACACCTAACTATATCAAAGTGCAAATGGACTAAATAATCCAGATTGTCAGTTTAAACAAAAATAAACTCCCAAACCACAAGCTATAGGTTGATGCAAAAGTAATTGGGGTTTTTGCCATTACTTCCAATGGCAAAACCACAATTACTTTTGCACCATTCTAATATTTATATATGCTACAGACAGAATGTTTTGTCTTCCTCCTGCAAATTCATATGTTGAAACCTAATCCCCAATATAAGCGTATCCAGATGTCAAGCCTTTGAAAAGGTGACTGGATCATGAGGACAGGGCCCTTATAAACAGGATTAATGCCCTTATAAAAGAGACCCCAGAGATCTCGCTTGCTCCCTTCCTCTATGTGAGGACACACCAAAAAGACAGCCATCTATGAACCATGAAATATGCTCTTACTAGGCATTAAATCTGTTTGGCACCTTGTTCTTGCACTTCCCAGCCCAGAACTGTGAGAAATAAATTTCTGTTGCTTATAAACTACCCAGCCTATAGTATTGTTATAGCAGCCTAAATGAACTAAGATAACATATAACACACATTTTCCTTCGGCATTTTGAAGACCCTCCTCTACTCTTCTAGTCTCCATGGTTAAAATCCAATGTCAGTCTGATTCCTGGTCCTTTTTACATGGCATGCTTTTTCCTGTAGTTGAATGCTTGTTAAATCTTCTTGGTCCAATATTCTGAAATTTCACAATGAAATTAGTCTATTTTCATTTATTAGTGTTAGTTTCTTCCTGGGCCCTTTCAATCTGGAAGCCCGTCTCCTTACATTCTGGAAAATTTTCCCAAATTACTTCACAGTGAATTTTTATACTTCAGTTTCTCTCTTATGTGCTTCTGAATCCCCACCAAATAATGCACCTCTTGAAGCTGATCCCTAATTGTATCTTCTCTAATTTTCAACGACTTTGTCTTTTTACTTTATTTTCTAGCAAATTCCCTCAACTTTTTCTTCCAACCCTCCTACTGAGATTTTCATTCTTGCTATCATATTTTTAATTTCCAAGAGCTCTTTTGTGGTATCTGACTGTTTCTTTTTCTACAGTATCCAGTTCCTGTTTCACAGATGCAATATCTCCTTTATCTCTCAGAGGATATTAATGGTAATCTTTCTTCACCCTGTGCAGTCTGTTTCCTACAAAGTGATTTTTCATTTTGGGGAGTAGAATGGGAGATAGTGAAATGTGGCCATCTTTCATGTTAGAGGCATCTTCAAATATCCTGTATCCTTGGTTGCCAGTTCATATTTAAGGGAAAGGAAATAAAAAGTTAACTGGAAGCTCCAAATAGATGGGTGAAGCTTGCTGACCTTATGGTTCACTGCACAGAGATCTCACCGTATCATTTGTTGTGGAGACCCAGACTTCAAGAGTATCAAGTGGGGTAAAGTCAGGAGACAGAAAATATACCAATCATTCAAACAGGAAAAATTTACTATAAAGAACATTAAATAGGTAAAAAGATGGTAAACAACTGAAAATGGAAGACAGCTCTAAGATATAACAGAGGTAGCAACTACAGAACGCAGCTGCCACATTTAAGGCTGAGGGAAAAGTAAACAAGGAAAAAAAAAAAGGCTTAGCAACTTACAAAAGGGGCCCCAAAAGGCTAAGAATACAGATCTATAAGGAAATGTTGGACTACTGCAGAAATATGCTATCCACTGACTGCTCAGTGAGAAAGAATGTTGCTGAAGGTCATGCATCAGAACAAAGACCACTGCTTGCCATGGGAAATACTGTGGGTATCAACTACTTGCAGAGCAGTCTGCCACTGTGATTAAAAAAAAAAACATGAAGAACCACAACCCTTCTTATTCCTAGTAATCTCCCTACTACACTCCTTTATTGGCAGTGACTAACATAGATTCAGCTGACAAAGAAAAAATATAGTTTGCAAGTCCAACTTCAGCATCATAACAAGGGGTTGTAAGGGTGGGTCTGGAACTCAGAGGCAATAAACAACTGGCACAGTTAGCATCTTTAAGGCCTTCCCCTTGTCATGGATTGCCCACACAAAAGTCTTCTAGTCTCCTACTTGAAAGGGGAAAGGACTGGCTGCCAGGATTTTGAGAGCCAAGTACAGGATGAAGGCTGTCAGTCTTCAATACTCAGTAGGCATACTGTCACTTAACTGCCCCCCACCCAGTTTTAATATGGAACCCTTTTCCTCAACTGTGCATGAAATCTCCCAATCCAGAGATGCTCTATTTTAACCCCCCATTGAAAACAAACCTCAAAACTTCTACCAGGAGGAGACAAGAGTGGCCATCAAATGAGATGAAGTAAAGGAGAACCACTTAAAAATATATTCATCCTCAGTTCCAAAGGTATCTGGTGCTAAAAGTCATTATGCCTTTTGAGGATATGTTGTGTAAACAAGGTTAGTTCTCAGCTATTCCTGCTACCACCTTGGGATTCGGCTGTCTCAGCTCTACTAAGCGACAGTTTCCACTCTTTCAATGCCTTGCCAATTTCCTTGTCCTTATGGGTATATGACATTTTATAATCTCTGTATCTTCTTTTTTGTAGTGTTTCAGAGAGAAGCAAAATTAAATGCAGATATTCAATACTCCATTGTAATCCCAAAACTTCCAAATGTTATTTTCAACGTGGTAGCAAATTTTTATCCTTTGACAGTTTGTAAGCTTACTCTGAGGGAAATTCCAAATATTTTTTATAAAAGCCCAATATTATTAAAATAATTATATAATCTGCCCAAGTGCCTGTTGTAGGTACAACATTCATCTAGATGTACATGCTGTTAACATGTGCTTTTAAACTGTTTGCTAATTTATGATATTTAATATTAAACAAAATTGCAAGAAGGATTAAAGATTAATACAAAGATACATGTTCTTTTTTGAGTCCTAACAGTAGCACTGAAATAAATGTAAGAGAAAAATTGGAATGAACACCAACCATGGCACAGATATGATCTTCCTAGTCGTAGCTCAAAGGTTATTAGTCCATTCATCTACCTAAAATTTACATGAAAAAATAGCTATGTTGCAGAGGATAACTTAAGGCATCAGAAAGTCATGCTCACTGTCATAAATCATCTAAAACAGAGCTAGAAATAGACCCTGGTCCATTATCATCTCTACAAAGCCAATAATATATCCAGAAAAAGGTACACTAGGAAATGGCAGTGAACAGGCAAGACTTGGGAACACAAGGAAAAGATACATACCAGTTTGAGTTGCCTGTGGGCCACTCATCAAAGGCCATGAGAGACTTAAGTTATCTACATCATTTTGACCCCCTAAAAAATTTGGTTTCAAATATGTAAACAAAATCACAAAACAAATTACAACCCTCCTTTGCCTACCACAGGCTATCTTCAAGACCCAGGAGTAGGCAAAAACATATCAATACAAACCTTCAAACCCTGAGGCTTCTTTTTCCAATAGCCCACAGTCTATTACTAATTTAGCAAACTCTTATATAATTCCCCATGAATGAAACGCTTTCCAGGTGACCAGAGAACTATAGTTAAAAGTTACCTCTATTGCTCATGTCTTCAAAAATAGAAAACCTCAGAAATATGTTGCATTCATTTATTCACTTATTAAAGTAGCCTAGTAGAGTAAAGAGCAAGCCCCATACAACCCAACAGAATTTGTAAATGGCTCTCAAAATATACTGGTCTAGACTCTCAGTGGTCTTTCTAAACTTAGTCACTCAGTGAGTTCCAAATAGCTTAATACTCAAGGCAGATCAACAGAGTCTGAACACACATTCTGTCACATATAACCTGTGTTCTATTCAGCCACTTTAAGTTTAGCTTCCTCAACTAAAAAATGGAGGTAGTAATATTTCACAAGACTACTGTGAGATTAGTTAAAATAATGAATGTATAATATCTACTTCTGGTACCTAGGACATGGTGGTTAATGAGCAAATAGTAACTATTATAAAATTCCAATTTACTGGGAGGGAGGTGGGGGAGTCAGCCCCCCGGCCCGGCCAGCCGCCCCGTCTGGGAGGTGAGGGGCGCCTCTGCCCAGCCGCCCCTACTGGGAAGTGAGGAGCCCCTCTGCCCGGCCACCACCCCGTCTGGGAGGTGTACCCAACAGCTCATTGAGAATGGGCCAGGATGACAATGGCGGTTTTGTGGAATAGCAAGGGGGGAAAGGTGGGAAAAGATTGAGAAATAGGATGGTTGCCGTGTCTGTGTAGAAAGAGGTAGACATGGGAGACTTTTCATTTTGTTCTGTACTAAGAAAAATTCTTCTGCCTTGGGATCCTGTTGATCTGTGACCTTACCCCCAACCCTGTGCTCTCTGAAACATGTGCTGTGTCCACTCAGGGTTGAATGGATTAAGGGCGGTGCAAGATGTGCTTTGTTAAACAGATGCTTGAAGACAGCATGCTCGTTAAGAGTCATCACCACTCCCTAATCTCAAGTACTCAGGGACACAAACACTGTGGAAGGCCGGAAGGCCGCAGGGTCCTCTGCCTAGGAAAACCAGAGACCTTTGTTTACTTGTTTATCTGCTGACCTTCCCTCCACTATTGTCCTGTGACCCTGCCAAATCCCCCTCTGCAAGAAACACCCAAGAATGATCAATAAAAAAAAATAAATAAATAAATAAATAAAATAAAAATAAAATTCCAATTTACTTTTAAAAATTAACTTAAGTTGCAAGTATAATGAAAAATCTGTCAAAGGCATTTAAAAGTAATAGTGTTAAGTATTTAGAACTATATTTTACAAATGTATACTAAGTATTCTGATTTCAAATTCTGTGACAATATTCAAACACAAATCAGTTCCCAGAGCTAACAGAAATGAAGTCTTTATAGCTACAAGAAGCCTTTTTTCTTACCGAAAAGATGAAAATGTCAATTCTCCATATAATCTCATTAAAATTTGAAATGTTAAGTGTCATTAGTAAGTGGCAGGAATATTTATCCACCAAAGTAAAGTAGAGATTAATGAAAATGGTACCCAAGGCCAGGCACAGTGGCCCATGCCTATAATCCCAGCATTTTAGGAGGCCGAGGCAGGTGGGATCACTTGAGCCCAGGAGTATGGTACCAGCCTGGGCAACACAGCAAGACTCTATGAAAAAAATTTAAAAATTAGCTGGGCATGGTGGCACATGCCTGTAGTCCTAGCTATTCAGGAGACTGAAATGGGAGGATCATTTGAGCCCAGAAGTTTGAGGCTGCAGTGAGCTATGATTGCACCACTGCCCTCCAGCCTGGGTGACAGAGCAAAACCTTGACTCTAAAAAAAAAAAAGTATCCGAGCTAGAAATCTCCTTAAATCTTTATTGTATAATTTCTCAATATCATTGTGACAATGTAATTCTATACCTAGAAAATCCTAGACTCTGTCAAAAGGCTCTTGGAACTGATAACCAATTTATCAAAGTTTAAGGATACAAAATCGATGTACAAAAATCAACAGCATTTCTATACACCAATAACATCCAGGCTGAGAGTCAATTCAAGAACACAATCCCACTTACAATAGCCACAAAAAAATAAAATAAAATACCTAGGAATATAGCTAACCAAGGAGGTAAAAGATTTCTACAAGGAGAACTACAAAATACGGCTGAAAGAAATCAGAGATGACACAAATAAATGCACAAACATTCCATGCTCAGGAACCGAAAGAATCAATATTGTTAAAATGGTCATACTGCCCAAAGCGATCTACAGATTCAACACTATTCCTATCAAACTACTGTCATTGTTCATAGAATTTAAAAAATAATTCTAAAATTCATATGGAATTAAAAAAAGGAGCCCAAATAGCAAAGCAATCCTAAGCAAAAAGAACAAAGCCAGAAGCACCTGATTATCTGACTTCATACTATTAGGCTACAGTAATCAAAACAGCATGGTACTGGTACAAAAACAGACACATAGATCAATGGAACAGAATAGAAAACTCAGAAATAAAGCTGTAAAACTCAGAATAAAGATCAGCTACAACTGTCTGACCTTCAACAAGGCTGACAAAAACAAGCAATGGGGAAAGGACTCCCTATTCAATAAATGGTGCTGGAATGGTTAGCCTAGCCATATGCAGAAGAATGAAGCTGGATGCTTACCTTTCACCATATATAAACATTTACTCAAGATATATTAAAGATTTAAATGTAAGACTTCAAACTATAAAAATCTTAGAAGGCGGCCAGGCACGGTGGCTCAGGCCTGTAATCCCAGCACTTTGGGAGGCCGAGGCAGGCGGATCACGAGGTCAGGAGATCGAGACCATCCTGGCTAACACGGTGAAACCCCGTCTCTACTAAAAATACAAAAAAATTAGCCGGGTGTGGTGGCGGTCACCTGTAGTCCCAGCTACTCTGGAGGCTGAGGCAGGAGAATGGCGTGAACCCGGGAGGCGGAGCTTGCAGTGAGCTGAGATCACGCCACTGCACTCCAGCCTGGGCGACAAAGTGAGACTCAGTCTCAGAAAAAAAAGAAAAAAAAATCCTAGAAGAAAACCTAGGAAATACCTTCTCGGCATTGGCCTTGGCAAAAACAACCTGTGGCTAAGTCTCCAAAGCAACTGCAACAAAAACAATTGACAAGTGGGACCTAATTAAATTAAAGAGCTTCTTCTGCACAGCAAAAAAAAAAAAAAAAAAGAAAAAAGAAAGAAAGAAAGAAAACTATCAGCAAAGTAAACAGACAACATACAGAATGGGAAAAAATATTTGCAAACTATGCATCTGACAAAGGACTAATATCCAGAATCTATAAGGAACTTAAATCACTAAGCAAAAAACAAATAACCCCATTAAAAAATGGCCAAAGGACATGAACAGACACTTCTCAAAAGACAACACACAGGCAGCCAACAAACATGAAAAAATGCTCATCATCACCAAAATCACAATGAGATACCATCTCACACCACTCAGAATGGCTATTATTAAAAGCTTAAAAAAAAAAAAAAAAAAAGATGCCAGCAAGGCTGTGGAGAAAGGGGAACATTTATACACTTTTTGATGGGAATGTAAATTGGTTCTGCCCCTGTGGGAAGCAGTTTGGTGACTTCTCAAAGAACTTAAAGCCACCATTCGACCCAGCAATCCCATTACTATTTCCAAAAGAAAACAAATCATTCTACCAAAAAGACACACGTACTTGCATGTTTATCACTGCACTATTCACAATAGCAAAGACATGGAAACAGCCTGGGTTCCCATCAATGGTGGATTGGATAAAGAAAATGTGAAACATATAATCCGTGGAATACTATGCAGCCATAAAAAAAGAATGAAATCACGTCCTTTGTAGCAACATGGATGCAGCTGGAGGCTATTATCCTAAACAAATTAACACAGGAACAGAAAACTAAATACACATGTTCTCACTTATAAGTGTGAGACAGCAATTTGGCAGGACTGATTTTGCAACGTAAGGGTCACAAAGACCCCACTGATAAAAAATGATACATGATCGCTCCTACTTGTCACAGGGCAAACCCCAAAATTGGGGTTTAGCTGGGAGGCCATGTGGGTTCTTGGCTTCATGCAGGAAGGAATTTAAGAGTGAGCCAACAGAGTAAAGTGAAAGCAAGTTTATTAAGAAAATAAAGGAATAAAAGAACAGTTACTCTACAGACAGAGCAGCGGCATGGGCTGCCTGAGTAAACTTATGGTTATTTCTTCATTATATGCTAAACAAGGGGTGGATTATTCATGAGTTTTTTGGGAAAGGGGTGGGGAGTTCCTGAACTGAGGCTTTCTCCCCCTTTCAGACATATACTGTAACTTCTAGATGTTGCCATGGCATTTTTTGTTGTTGTTGTTTTTTATTTTGAGACGGAGTCTTGCTCTCTCGCCCAAGTTAGAGTGCAGTGATGCGATCTCGGGTCACTGCAATCTCCACCTCCCAGGCTCAAGCGATTCTCCTGCCTCAGCCTCCTGAGTAGCTGGGATTACAGGTGTGCACCACCACGCCTGGCTAAGTTTTGTATTTTTAGTAGAGACGGGGTTTCGCCATGTTGGCCAGGCTGGTCTCAAACTCCTGACCTCAAGTTATCCACCTGCCCTGGCTTCCCAAATTGTTGGGATTACAGGCATGAGCCACTGTGCCTGGCTCACCATGGCCTTTATAAACTGTCATGGCACTGGTGGGAGTGTCGTTTAACATGCTAATGCATTATAATTAGTGTATAATGAGAAATGAGGACAACTAGAGGTCGCTTTTGTCGCCATCTGGTTCTGGTGAGCTTTGACTGGCTTCTTTCGGATTAAGGTGTTAGCCACCATGCCCCACCTAGATTCTGTTATTCTTAAAACTTTGGCTAATCTAAGGAATAGTGTGTTCAATACACTTTAAAAGAGAAATCTGCTATCAAATATGTGTGAAACTATCTATAATATGATTCAGAAAAAAATCAGATTTATACTCTCCAGCTTGATGGTAGAAATGTTCTTACAGAAGAGCCAACATCAATGTTAGTGCTACAGGCAGCACAGGAATAGGCAGCTAAGTCAAATCACACTAAGAGAACAAGAAAGAAGAGGTGGAAAATGGAAATGCTCCAGGTAAACTGGAAGCTGGAATCAAGCAAAAAATCTATAGCAGAAGTACATGCAGGTGCCAAAGTCAAAGCATGATACAAAACTCAATTCTAGATTAAACTAGGACATGAAAAAGATGGCTTCAGGGAGCTATACGGAGAAAAAACCAACAAACTCATGCAGTTTGGATCACTGGCACCAGTCTTCCAGCACAAAGCATTTTTTTAAAAAACAAATAATATCTCAATATTTAAGCTAGAGAATGTTTTACATACTTTAGAATTATGAGCCCAGGAAGTGCATATTAAGAAGAATCCTGGCTTAGAGGTGATGTAATGAAGACAAGATACCTACTTGAATTGGCTCTTGAAACAGATTCTAACACTAATTGGGATAGGGAAAATGACATTAAATAAACAACAAACATCATGCAATGGTCTGAGGACACCTGACTGCCACCACAAACAATTTCTAACTACTCTAAATACCCTCAACCTCTAAGACATAGTAAACTTTTCTTTCAAGGCAGCTCAATACCAAATAATTTCTAAAATCTTCTCTGCTCTTCTCCCCTCTCCCTTCCTGTCCCAGTGAAGCCAACAGCTCAGACCATCTGTGTAGTAACCATAATACCCTGCACCTGACTTCTTCCTAACATGTTCAAATATAAATATGTCTTCATATATCTGTCACCCCAAGCTGACATGCACTTCTTGTAGGCAGACAGAGGAACTATAACATTTTGTATCACCAGAGCCAGCCCAGCAAGGGTTTACACGTGGTAGGCATCAGGCATCTGCCTAGGGCAAAATAATTTAGATGACAGCAAACAAGAAGCACTTAAAACATTTGGAAGTGTAAGACCCAAAAGACAAATACTGAAATCTAAGCCCACATGCAGAGAAGTCAACAAGAGTCAATTCCCATTACAAAACCCCAGAAAATATTAGGAATTCAAGGCATCAGACAATTCAGGAGGCCTGAGTACGGTATGGGGCTGAAAACAAAAGAACTAGTTGAAACTGTTGAAGAAAAACAATCAGAACTCTATGGTTCTTCCTCTATTCTGCCCAGCAAGTAGGGCTAAACATGTGTCCACCACCAATCTGAAAAGAGAATAATTACTCCTAGAGAATTTGGACAAGGCAGGCTCAAGGTTCAGGAACCTAGGTTTTGCTCAGTATCAGGGATGGGCACCAATCTGAAAACAGATTCCAACCCCTGTTCCTACTGGGCAGCCAGGACAACGGCAGAGGCTTCTACCTCCATGCATAATACTGAAGGATTAGTCAAGATAACTAGGTAAAGAGAAAAAGACAAGGATAGTAGCAGTTGGGCTGGGGTTGAAGCAAAAACTTCAAATGAAATGAAAATGTCAAGGTAGCTAATCAAGTACTAGTATAAAGCCCTCTTCTCAGCCTCAAATTTGCAAAACTAAGGCTCAGCAGCCATTTAAACAAAGCCTTTAGCACAAAGCACAAAAGTCAAAACAGAAAGAGTTGAGGAAGAGAGAAAAAGGAGACTCAGAGGAAAAAGAATCCAGCAAGGGAAAAAAAAAATAGCCCCAAAGAGAAAAAGTAGATTTACATCCATGAAGCAAGAACGAGAAGTTATAACGTTTAGATAGTGAGAAAATGCTCTTAGAAAATGAAAATATGGTCAGGAGCAGTGGCTAACGCCTATAATCCCAGCACTTTGGGAAGCCACACTGGGAGGATCACTTGACCCCAGGAGTTCAAGACTAGCCTGCGCAACACAGGGGGACCTCTGTCTCTATAAAAAAAAAAAAAATTTAATTAGTTGGCATGGTGGCTCAATGCCTGCTGTCCAGCTACTTAGGAGGCTGAGGAGGACAAATGGCTTGAGCCTGGGAGGTTGAGACTGTGTCAGAGGCGTATGAACCAGAACAACTCCATCTTAAATAGGAGCTGGGTAAAATAAGGCTAAAACCTACTGAGCTACATTTCCCAGATGGTTAAGGCATTCTAAGTCACAGGACGAGATAGGAGGTTAACACAAAATACAGGTCATGAGAGTGACTTTTGGTTGTCCTCACTGCTACACTCTCACCAGTGCCATGACAGTTTACAAACGCCATGGCAACATCAGGAAGTTACCCTATATGGTCTAAAATGAGGAGGCATGAATAATCCACCCCATGTTTGGCATATCATCAAGAAATAACCATAAAAATGCCAGCAGCTCTCTGGGCTGCTCAGTCTATGGAGTAGCCATTCTTTTATTCCTTTACTTTCCTAATAAACCTGCTTTCACTTTAGGGCGAGTCTATGGATTTACCCTGAATTCTTTCTTGCACAAGATCCAAGAATCCTCTCTTGGGGTCTGGATTGGGACCCCTTTCCTGTAACAGCTGCAGTGAGCTGTGATCACGCCACTGCACTCCAGCCTGGGTGACGGGTGAGATCCCATCTCAAAAGAAATAAAGAAGAAAGAAAAGAAATGAAAATATAAGAGAGAAACAAAAATCCAATAGAAGGCTTGGGAGATATTACCTATATACACCAGAACAAAGAATAAAAAGATAAAGACATAGAAAAGATTAGAAAAAAATGATCAATTACAGACTCAGCCTAGATAGGAGAGGCACCATTCAAGTAACAGGAGTTAAGAGAGGCCGGGCACAGTGGCTCACACCTGTAATCCCAGCACTTTGGGAGGCCAAGGCGGGCAGATCACCTGAGGTCAGGAGTTCAAGACCAGCCTGGACAATATGGCAAAACCCCGTCTCCACTAAAAATACAAAAATTAGCTGGCGTAGTGGTGGGCACCTGTAATCCCAGCTGCTCAGGAGGCTGAGGCGGGAGAATCACTTGAACCCGGGAGGCAGAGGCTGCAGTGAGCCAAGATCACACCATTGCACGCCAGCCTGGGTGACAGAGTGAGAGTGTCTCAAAAAAAAAAAAAAAAAAGAGTTACAAGAACAGAAAAAAACATTAAGGGAGAAAATAATCCTAAAAACAATGAAAAAAAAATCTGAGAATGGAAAAACATTAGTTTCCAGACTGAGTATTCAACACAAAAAATAATAAGGGGAAAAATAGTACATACCTGTTAGATGAAATTATGAAAGGTCATTGTTTTGGACTGAGCTCCTGCACTAGGCCCCAACAGATCAACCAAATCAAAATGAAGTTACTCATGTTAAGTGCCACATACTCAGACTGAAACTTCAATGAAGCAGACAGATCTAAAAAAAAAAAACCAGTTTTTCCTGAACACAGAAGATTCCAGCCTACCTGAGTCAGTGTTTAATAAAAGTCCTCTCTGCTTTAACCCTTACAAAAAAGTAAGCTGATGTTAACCAGTCAAGTGTTTTTTCTATTTTTCCACTTCTCTGTTCTGACCTTACAAAATGCACATTCTGCTACTGCCTAGTTGGAGCTCTCATTCCATTTTGTAGAATGAAGGCTACCCCAATTCATGACTCACAAATAAAGGCCAAAGAGATCTGTAAGTAAATCCGTTGTAATTTTGTCTTTTGACTGAAGCAATGCCTTGAAATGTAGGACAAATAATTCCCAGCCTAGGATTCTATACCCACTGAAATTATCAATAAAGCATGAGAGCAAACTAAAGATCTTTTCAGGCATTCAAACACTCAAAAAAAAAAAAATTGCCTTCCGTGACATTTTTCTCTTAGGAAACTCCCAGAGGATTTCCCAGAGGATAAAAATTAGAAAACTGACCAAGAAAAAGTTTAGAATAGGACCTAGGAAGTAGAGAGGGTTCAAGATGAAAAGAGACGAAGGTCAATTTCATGATTATGAAGTGAGGTACAAAAACCAAAATCCCAAACATTTGTATGGTCTAATAGTTTCATTTCCAGCAAAGAATTTGGGGAGAAATTGATATGTACATGAAAAACTAGGTAAATGAAAAAATAAGTCAAATATTAATTCCAAAGAAAACAAAAAGTAATGCAAGATATAATCATAATATGCTATACAGATAAGCTATGAATTAATCATAATGACATATAAGCCAAATACTAAATTAACCAAAAAAGGTAAATATATTGGAAGAATGAAAGAAGTATGTTTGGAATAGGAAATAATAATAGAGTAGAAGTCTTGATTTATACTGCAGAGTGAATCTATAAAAATAAAATGAGGCTGGGCGCGGTGGCTCACACCTGTAATCCCAGCACTTTGGGAGGCCAAGGAAGGCAGATCACAAGGTCAAGAGATCAAGACCATCCTGGCCAACATGGTGAAACCCCATCTCCACTAAAAATACAAAATGTAGGTGGGCATGCTAGTGCACACCTGTAGTCCCAGCTACTTGGGAGGCTGAGGCAGGGGAATTGCTTGAACCCAGGAGGCGGAGGTTGCAGTGAGCCAAGATTGTGCCACTGCACTCCAGCCTGGCGGCAGAGCGAGACTCCATCTCAAAAAAAAAAGAATGAAAAAAAGTAAGAAATAGAAATATAAGCATGTTATTTTAAAATATGAAAGTATATCCCAGCAGAAACAAAAAACTAAAAAAATTTGACTTCTGAAATATAATTCTTTAAGATAAATACAACTGAAAGAGAAAAGGCATTTTATAGTCCGGTTTTAATGCCTCTTCAAAAATCTATCATCCTGGACTGGATTATAGAACAGAAAAGAAACATTAGTGAGCAAATTCAACCAAAATCTATGGTTAAGTTCATAATATTGTACCAGGCCAGGTGCGGTGGCTCATGCCTGTAAATCCCAACACTTTAGGAGGCCAAGGCAGGCAGATCACTTGACACTAGGAGCTCCGTACAAAACTGGACAACATGATGAAACCCTGTCTCTACCAAAAAAAAAAAATTAGTCTGGCATGGTGGGGTGTGCCTGTAGTCCCGGCTACTCAGGAGTCTGAGGTGGAAGGATGGCTTGAGCCTAGGAGGCAAAGGTTGCAGTGAGCTTAGATTGCTCCACTGAACTCCAGCCTGGGCGACAGGGCTACATCCTGTCCTAATAATAATAATAATTTACAAATATTAATTTCTTCCTTTTAATAATTTTATCATGGTTATGGAAAAATATAACATTTAAGGGAAGCTGAATGAACAAGGATATTCAGGAACTATATACTATCTTATAACTCTTCTAAAAGTCTAAAATTATTCCAAAATAGAAAGTTTTATTTTAAAATCTATCATGAAGTATTTGGAAAAGAAAATACTAGTATTATATTAGTATTAGTATTATAATAAGGCCAGGTACCCACTCCACAACTAAGAAAAGAAACCGTGCCCATACATTTTGTATCCCCTACCCAGATACATTGCACTTAGTATTTACTATTCTTATGCACTGTTTATTTCTACTTTTATTACATAGGTATAGCCATCATACATACACACAGTATTCTTTTGCATGTTTTTACACTTTATAGAAATAGATTCATATAGTGAGTATTCTGCATACTTAGGTTTTTGATTGATGTTATTACATTTATGAGGTCTGTTTGTATTAATATGTGAGCTACAGTTCATTCATTTCATTTTTGAATACTATTTCATTGTAAAATATATCCCATGATTCACAGATGGTCCCTGACTTAAGCAGGTTTTACTTAAAATTTTTCAACTTCATGATGGGTTTATCAAGACATAACCCCATCATAAGTCAAGAAGCATCTGAACTTAAGGTGGTTCAACTTAATGATTTTCAACTTTAAAATATATTTATTGAGGTATTAAATGCATTTTCTTTTTTCTTTCTTTCTTTTTAAGACAAGGTCTCACTCTGTCACCCAGGCTGGAGGCAGTGATGATCACAGCTCACTGCACCCTCAAACTTCTGGGTTCAAGCAATCCTCCTATCTCAGCCTGTTGAGTAGCTGGGACTACAGACATGCTCCACCACACCTAATTCTTGTTTTTGTAGAAACAGGGTCTCACTATGTTGCCCAGGCTGGTCTCAAACTCCTAGCCTCAAGTGATTCTCTCTCGCCTCAGTGTGCCAAAGTGCTAGGATTACAGGTGTGAGCCACAACACTTAAATGCACTTTTTACTTAATGATATTTTCAATTTATCATGAGTTTACTGGGACATAACTCCATTGTTAAGTCAAGGAGCATCTGTAGTTCTCCAACTATGTCTTGTTGGTAGACATTTAAGACATTACCAATTTTTTGCTACTACAAACAATTCTGTGGATGTCTTCATGTGTACATGTGTAGAAGTTTCTCCAGATCAATGGCTTTTGTATATTTTTTTCTTACCATGGCTCAGACTTAGAAATATGCTTTAGATCATAACCCCATACACATAAAATTGAAACAAATCTCATGAAGAAAAAACACTTAATGATGCTACATGCAATTGCGCCAGTTACCAATTTATTGCCCCTCAAAACTAAACTCACCTTTCTTTGCCCTGGTTAGTAATACCTGAGTTGGGGCCTGTGATGGTTACTATTATGTGTCAACTTGACTGGGGCCACAGGATGCCCAGATATTTGATTAAACACTATTCTGGATGTGTCTGTGAGGGTGTTTCTGGATGAGATTAACACTGGAATCAGTAGACTGAATAAAGCAGACGGCCCGCCCCATTGTGAGTGGCCCACATCTGATCTTTTGAAAGCCTGAATAGAACAAAAAGGCAGAGTAAGAGAGAATTTGCTCTGCCTGCCTGATTCTCTTTGAGCTGGAACACTGGTCTTCTGCCCTTTGGGCTTGGACTGGAACTTATACCGCAAGCTCTCCTGGGTCTATAGCTTGCTGACTGCACATCTTGGGACTTCTCAGTCTCCATAATATCTTTTATTTTTATATATAGATGTATTAGTCTGGGTTTTCCATAGAAACAAATATTCCAGAGTACACACACACAAAACGCTTCTCTTGAAAAGAGACTAATACAACCCTATAAACATCTTTCTTTTGCCAGCTCATGGGAGTTGGGCTTTAAGAGAGGGTGCTGAAGGGATCTGGTGTGCTATTGTTTTATTGTGAGCACTCTACTCAGTGGACTTGCACGTTGGAGGCCCAGTAGTGCTTATCTTAGCCACCTTCACAGACTAGCTATGGCCCTTATTCTCTGGCAAGTTTCTCTACCACCTGGAGAGCCACACCTATGAATCTGCTCGACTCATTCATGCCTTTCCACAAGTTTTTCTACCATCCAACAGGTTGCTCCTATAGACCAGCTCCAACGCATGCCCTCTGGCAAGTTTCACCGCCACCAGCAGGCTACACGTTCCTATGGCATCCATGCTCTTTCCCATAAATTCTGAATCTTAGGCTAGAAGGGATAGGAGTTAAGTTCTTAGTTTCTTGCTTGTCCACCCTCTCTCAGCCCTACAGGTAGCAGTTGATTTCTGCATTTGCTATCCCTTTGAGTCTTATTTTAGCCCTTTTAGCAGTTAACTACTTTTTTACTAGTTAACAATTATTTATATTAAATATTCTCTATTCCAATTAGTGTGATTTCTCTCTCTTGATTGGATCATAACTGTTATAACAATATATTTAGATATTTCTTATTCTATTCTTTTTTATTCATGCAGATAAGTGAGCCACTAAATATAACTGTAATAACCCCCTAATGATTTGATGAAGACAGCTTGAAAAACATTTCTCTAAGGTATATACTTAAGAATTAAATGGCTAGGTCATAGGATATGCACATCTAACTTCACAAGATGCAACCAGCATGTAAGCATTCCAATGGAAACATATCTGTGCCAATATCTGAATATGTGAGACATTTCAGTTTTCTCAAACTGATATGTATAAAATCATTTATCATTCTGATTTTAACTTGCTATTCCATGAATGACTCTTTTTCTTTCTTTTCTTTTTTCTTTTATTCTCTCCCTCCCTCCTTCCCTTCCTTCTTTCCTTCCTAACAGGTTCTCATTCTGTCACACAGGCTGGAGTGCAGTGGTACAATCATAGCTCACTGCAGCCCTGACCTCCTGGGCTCAAGTGATCCTCCTGCCTCAGCCTCCTGAGTAGCCAGAACTACAGGCATGCACCACCACACCCACCTAATTTTTTTCTTTTCTCTCTTCTCTTTTTTATAGAGACAGGGTCTCTCACTTGTTGATTAGGCTGGTCTTGAACTCCTGGCCTCAAGTGATCCTCCTACCTCAGCCTCCACTGAGGATTACAAGCATGAGCCACCATACCTGGTCCTCACCTATTATTTATTCTTCTTGGTTTGTAAGAGATCTTTTATATTCTGATTGCTTATCTTTGTTGTATCACTGCAAAAATGTTTTTATCTGTGACTAGATTTTTTATTTTTAAACCTTTCATCCAGTTCACTGATGCATAATTTACATATAGTAAAAAATACAGATCATGAACATACAGTACAATGAGCTTTGACAAATGTAATAACCATGAAACCCATATTTCATCCAGATATAGAACTTTTTAATCACCCTGAAAGTTTCCTCATACTTCTTTCCAGTCAATCCTTTCCAGTAAGCAACTACTGTTCTGGTTTCTATCACCACAGATTTGTAGTGTTACTTATTCTTGAACTTCATATAAATGGAATCAATATGGACTGTAAAATTCTATTTGGGCTCTTTTATTTAATATATTTTTCAGATTCTTCCATATTGTTTAGTTTTATACTTTTATCAACTTTTTTACAAAGTTGTTTTACTTTTTTAAATAAACTTTTTATTAATATGTAACATCCGTAAGTGTGCAAATCATTAGTGTACGGCTAAATTTAAAAAAAAATTTTTTTCAGACGGAGTGTCGCTCTGTTGCCCAGGCTGGAGTGCAGTGGTGCAATACCGGCTCACTGCAACCCAGGTTTTAAGTGATTCTCCTGCCCTAGCCTCCCAAGTAGCCGGGATTACAGGTGCCCATCACAACGCCCAGCTAATTTTTGTGTTTTTAGTAGAGACAGGGTTTCACCATGTTGGCCAGGCTGGTCTCAAACTCCTGACCTCAAGTGATCCGCCCGCCTCGGTCTCCCAAAGTGCTAGGATTACAGGCATAAGCCACCGCACCCCGCCAGCTAAATAAATTTTTAAAGAGTATACATACCTGTCTGCCCACCACTTAGATAAATAAAAACAGTAGCAGCATCCTAAAACCCACTTGTACCTCCTCCAGTCATCAACACACACACCCTTAAAAAGATTTTTTTGAGACAGGTTCTCCCTCTGTCGCCCACGCTAAAGTGTAGTGGCACAATCATAGCTCACTGCAGCCTGGAACTCCTGGGCTCAAGCAATCCTCTCACCTTACCCACCTGAGTAGCTAAGACTACAGGCACACACCACCATGCTAATTTTTAAATTTTTTGTAGAGACAAGATCTCGCTATGTTACCCAGGTTGTTCTCAAACTCCTGGCCTCAAGTGATTCTCCTGCCTCGACCTCCCAAAGTGCTGAGATCCCAGCCAATAACCACTACTCTGACAAATATCACCTGATTCAGTTTTGCCTGATTCTGTCCTTTTTGTACACAAAATCATAATAACACTAATTCTCATATCTGGCTTCTTTTTTCAATAATATGTCTGTGATGGGTCATCGTATTGTATGTAGCAATAACTAACTCATTTTCCTTTCTATATCACATTCAGTTGTATGAATATACCACATATTTGCCCATTCTACTGCTGATGAACATTTTCATTTTTTCCAGTTTGAGACTATTATGAACAAAGCTGATACTAACATTTTTATAGGTATTTTGCTGTTGGGTTCATATTTATGAGTAGAATTGTTAAATTATAAGGTATGTGTATATTCAGCTATAGTATATAGTGCCAAAGAGTATTCCAAAGTGCTAATAACATTTTCCCCACCATCAGTAATGTCTGGGAGTAACAACCGATCGACATTCTCACTAGCACTTGGTATCGTGTTTTAATTCTTAGACATTCTAGTGGCCATCTGGTGGTAGCTCACTACAGTTTAAACGTGCATTTCCCTGATGACTGAGATTAAGCACCTTTCCATATGTTTTTGAGCCACTAGGATATGTGTTTTTTGAGGAGCCTACTCAAGCCTTTTGCCTGCTCTTCTATTAGATTATCTTTTAATTTTTGACTTGTAATCATTCTTTACATGCTCTGAATACAAGCCTTTCGTAAAATAACTCATCGTGACTTCTTTTTCCCTCTACTTAACGATCTTTTGAACAAGAAAATTTTCATTCTAATAAAGTATAACTTACCAATCTTTTCCTTTATAGTTAGTGCTTTTTGTATCTTTATAAAAGATCTTTGTATACACCAATGTCAAGAATAGTTTCCTATGCTTTCTTCAAGGTGAATTATTTTTACATTTCACATTCAGTTCTACCATCTACTTGGAATTGAGTTTGGAGTATATTCTGTGAGGCAGGAATCAATATTCATTGCTTTCGGTATTGGTCCAGTATCATTTACTGGATAGGCCATCATTTTCAATTTCAATTGGCATAGCATCACTTATTGTAAAGAGCATCATTTCTCCACTGCACTACAATGTCACTTCTCTCATACATCAGTGGATGATATATCTCCACGGAGTGGACAAGCAAGAAACTAAGAACTTAAAAGAACCCCTTTCCCTTCAAGGGTAAGATCCAGAATCTGTGGGAAAGAGAATGGCTTCCACAAGAACATGGAGCCTGCTGGTGATGGCACAACTTCCCAGAGCACTTGGGTTGGAGCTGGTTTCTAGTAACAACCTGCTGATTGGCAAAGAAACTTTTGGAAACACATGAGTGAGCCAGAGTTAGCCCATAGGTGTGGCTCTCCAGGGTCTATTTCTGGCCCCTCTATTCTGTTTCAGTAGTCTTTTACCCCAAATCACAGTCTTAATGTATAATAAATCTTGATATCTGGTACCATAAGTCCTCTAGTTGAGATAATCTTCAAGATTATCATATTCTTTGTAACCTTTTGCATTTTCATATGAATGTCATAATCAGCTGTTCAATTTCCATACCCAAAAAAAGCCTGCTGGATTTTTATCAGGATTGCATTAAATCATTAGATTAACTTGGAGAGAACTGGCATCTTTATGATAGTCTTTCAATTCATAAACATAGTAAATCTTTCCATTTGTTTAGATCTTAATTTTTATCAAGATTTTTATAGTTTTCAACATGAATGTCTTGTATTTTTATTAGATTTCATTCCTTAGCATTTGATACATTTGATACTACTATAAATAGCATTGTTTTATTCATTTTCTAATTCTTCTTTGCAAACATAGAGAAAAAATGTGTTTTTAAAATACTGACATTATGACTAGGTGCAGTGGCTCATGCTTGTAATCCCAGCACTCTGGGAGACTGAGGTGGGAGGACTGCTTGAGACCAGCCTGGGCAACATGGCGAAATCCTATCTCTATAAAAGTAATTAAAAATTACCTAGACATGGTGGTGCACACCTGTAGTCCCAGTTACTCAGGAGGCTGAGGTGAAAGGATTGCTTGAACACGAGAAGGCCAAGGCTACAGTGAGCTGTGATTGTGTCACTGCACTCCGGCCTGGGCAACAGAGCAAGACTTTGTATCTATCGATCAATCAACACAATACTGACACTGTAGCCATCAAATTCCCTTAGTTATTCTCAATATTTTCTACAGATTCTACTGCACATTTTACACATAAAATCATATCAAATACATATGATTATTTCAACTTTTCCTTTCCATTCTGTATGTTTCCTACCTTACTGTATATACTAGCTAGTACTTATAATACTATGTTCAACAGATGTGGTGATAGCAGGTGCTGTAGTTTGAATATTTGTACTCCCACACATCATGCTGAAATTTGATCCCCGATGTTGGAAGTGGGCCACAATGGGAGGTGTCTGGGTCATGAGGGCTGTTCTCTTATGAAGAGATTAACGCCCTTCAGGAGAGGGAAGGTGAGTGAGTTCTCACTCTGTTAGTTCCTGGGATAGCTGGTTGTTAAAAGATTGAGCCCAGGAGTTCAAAGTTGCAGTGAGCTATAATTGTACCACTGCACTCTGGCCTGGGTGACAGAACAAGATCCTGTCTCCAAAAAAAAAAAAAAAAAAAAAAAGAGCGTGGCAGAGCAAGATGGCTGACTAGAAACACCTGGTGCTTGTCTCCTCCACAAGAACCAACAAAGGTAAAAAATAAATAGCTAAGATTTGACTGAAGTGTTGAAGAAAGAAAAGTGGAATGCCACAGAGGAGTGGAGATGCATCTGTGGTGACTGGATTCCGAAGAATGCAGTGTAAAGGCATCTGACCTCTGCAGCACCGTCTCGCCAAACCAGATCAGACTGGGGCCCAGAGACAGGAGGGACTTCCCATTGTAAGGGAAAAGTAAGCAGAAGATCCCCACCATCCCCTACCACCACTGCAAAGGCCTACAGTCCTTACACCCCCTGAGTCCAGTTTGGAAAGCCACCAGAAATTCATGCAACTGCACTGCTCCAGGTTGGGAACACAACGTGTGCTAACCCACCCCTTGTGAGCCAAGCTATTGCAGCAAGACACCATCTTGAGACTAGAGCCACCTCTGGAATGCTCCCTCCTCTTGGGTACAGTAGCCACTGCACTTCTCCACCAATGGGGCTCCATCTTCATTATGCCAAGCACCCACAGATGGCTAAATGCCATAACCCCAGATGCACAAAGCTTGGGCTCAAGATTGCCTGTGACTCCAGTCCTGCACAGCAGGGAAACCAACCCCCGCTGCTACACTTTCAGCCAGAAGAACAGTCTTCCATTCCCACCCAGGGTGAACATGCCCTTGAGAGCCAGCCATGTCCTTACCCACCCTCCCCCAAGCAGAAGAGGTCCCTGAGCCTACAAGGAGCCAATATTCCCTGGGGCCAGTGGCCTGGCTACATGGCCACAGCATTCCCACCCAACACAGACATGCCCCTGGCCTACCCAAAGGTCCTATGCTCCCAATAAGGACTTGAGAAAAGTCCCACAGGCCGCCCTCACAGGTGTGCCCCCAGGTCAGCCAGGCAGCAAAGAGCTCAACTCTTGGATGTGAAAATAGCCCTGCAAGCCACACCCAGTAAGCACACCCCTGAGCTGACTGAGCAGCCTTACACCTGCATCCCAGACCTGAGAAACAGCCTCATGAGCCACCCCTGGCAGACACACCACACCCCCAGGCCTGCTGGGCAGTTGTATTTCCACATCCCAGCCTCAAGAAACAGCCCTATGGGCCACTTCTAGCAGGCATGCTCCCAGGCCAACTAAGCAATCCTGTGTCTGCATCTCAGGTCTATGAAACAGCCCTGTGGGCCACCCTCTACAGAAGCACCCCCAGGCCAGCTGAGCAGCTGCAGCCATGTCACAGGCTTGAGAAACAGCTCTAAGTCTGCCCCCCAGCTCCTGACATATTCCCCCAGGCCAGGCAAGCAGCCTTGCACATACCAGGCCTCAGAAACAGCCCTACAGGTTGCCAATGACAGACCCAGACCCAGGCCAGCCAAGCAGGTGCACATCCACAACATAAGCCAGAGAAACCCAGTAAACCACCTCCAGCAGACATGCACCCAGGAAAGCTGAGCAGCCACTCACCCACATACGAGGCCAAAGAAATAGCTCCATGGGCTGTCCATGGTGGGCAAAATCCAGATCAGATGAGTAGCCTTGTATCCTAAGCTGGAGAAACAGGCCCTGTGGGCTGCACCTGATAGACAAGCCCACAGGTCAGTCAAGAAGTCTTGTGTCCACATCCAGAGCCTGAGAAATGGCCCTGCAGGCCGACCCTGGCAGACATGTCCCCAGGTCAGCTAAGCAGCGGTGTGCCTGCATCCTGGGCCTAAGAAACAGCCCCACAAGCCATTCCTGGAAGGTATGTCCACCGACCAGCCAAGCAACTGTATACCTATGTTCAAAGCCAGAGGAATGGCTCATGGCCCCAACCCCAGCTGACCATACCCCAAGTTGGCTGATCTACTGTGTGCACACACATGTCCCCACCCAGAGAAACAGCCCCAGCAAGCCCACCCCTGGAAAACCTGTACCATCATCACCACAAACTCTCTCAGCCTAGGCCACTCAGAAACATGCAAATTCCACTACTATGGGTTACAGCTGAAAAAACTACATGGAAACTAGGTCAACACACTCCACCAAACCAACACCCCAAGACTCATGCAAATAAGAATTTCCCTAAGAAACCTACACCATAAAATTGGAAGAGGCGACTTTTCCACTAGATGGATACAAATCAATATAGGGACATATCAACCAAGAAAAAGCAAGAAAACACGTCACCTACAAAGAAAAACGATTATCCAGTAACAGATCTCAATCATAAGAAAATATGTGAAATGCCAGAAAAAGAATTAAATGTTAATCTTAAGGAAACTCAGTGCCATACAAGAGAAGACAGATGATTCAACAAAATTGGGGAAATCAACGCATGATTTGAATAAGAAATTCAAAAAAGATAGATAAGCCAAACAAAAATCCTACAGCTGAAGAATTCAATGACTAAAAAAATAAAATCAAGAGCTTCTAGAACAGACTAGACTAAGCAGAAGAAAGAATTTCTCCCCTCCCCCTCCCCCTCTCCCTCTCCCCACGGTCTCTCTCTCCCTCTCTCTCCACGGTCTCCCTCTGATGCCAAGCGGAGGCTGGACTATAGTGCCGCCATCTTGGCTCACTACAACCTCCCTGCCTGATTCTCCTGCTTCAGCCTGCCGAGTGCCTGGGATTGCAGGCGCCAGCCGCCACGCCTGACTGGTTTTCGTATATTTTTGGTGGAGATGGGGTTTCGCCGTGTTAGCCGGGCTGGTCTCCAGCTCCTAAACGTGAGTGATCCGCCAGCCTCAGCCTCCCAAGGTACCGGGATTGCAGACGGAGTCTTGCTCACTCAGTGCTCAATGTTGCCCAGGCTGGAGTGCAGTGACGTGATCTCGGCTCGCTACAACCTCCACCTCCCAGCCGCCTGCCTTGGCCTCCCAAAGTGCCGAGATTGCAGCCTCTGCCCAGCCGCCACCCCGTCTGGGAAGCGAGGAGCGTCTCTGCCTGGCCACCCATCGTCTGGGATGTGAGGAGCCCCTCTGCCTGGCCGCCCAGTCTGGGAAGTGAGGAGCGCCTCTTCCCGGCCGCCATCCTATCTAGGAAGTGAGGAGCGTCTCTGCCCGGCCGCCCATCATCTGAGATGTGGGGAGTGCCTCTACCCCGCCCCCCATCATCTGAGATGTGGGGAGCGCCTCTGCCCCGCCGCCCCGTCTGAGATGTAAGGAGCGCCTCTGCCCGGCCGCGACCCCGTCTGGGAACTAAGGAGTGTCTCTGCCCGACCACCACCCCGTCTGGGAGGTGAGGAGTGTCTCTGCCCGGCCGCCCTGTCTGAGAAGTGAGGAGCCCCTCTGCCCGGCAGCCGCCCCATCTGGGAAGTGAGGAGCGTCTCCACCCGGCAGCCGCCCCCTCCAGGAGGTGGGGGACAGCCCCCGCCCGGCCAGCCGCCCCGTCCAGGATGGAGGTGGGGGGCAGCCCCAACCCGGCCAGCTGCCCCTTCCAGGAGGGAGGTGGGGGGCAGCCCCCGCCCAGCCAGCCGCCCTGTCCAGGAGGGAGGTGGGGGGCAGCCCCCGCCCGGCCAGCCGCCCCATCTGGGAGGGAGGTGGGGGGCAGCCCCCGCCTGGTAGCCGCCCCATCTGGGAGGTGGGGGGCACCTCTGCCCAGCCACGCTGTCTGGGAGGTGGGGGGCCCCTCTGCCCGGCCGCCACCCCGTCTGGGAGGTGTACCCAGCAGCTCATTGAGAACAGGCCATGATGACGATGGCAGTTTTGTTGAGTGGAAGGGGGGGAAGTGTGGGGAAAGGAAAGAGAAATCAGATTGTTGCTGTGTCTGTGTAGAAAGAAGTAGACATGGGAGACTCCATTTTGTTCTGTACTAAGAAAAATTCTTCTGCCTTGGGATGCTGTTAATCTATGGCCTTACCCCCAACCCCGTGCTCTCTGAAACATGTGCTGTGTCCACTCAGGTTTAAATGGATTAAGGGCGGTCCAAGATGTGCTTTGTTAAACAGATGCTTGAAGGCAGCATGCTCGTTAAGAGTCATCACCACTCCCTAATCTCAAGTACCCAGGGACACAAACACTGCAGAAGGCTGCAGGGTCCTCTGCCTAGGAAAACCAGAGACCCTTGTTCACATGTTTATCTGCTGACCTTCCCTCCACTATTGTCCTACGACCCTGCCAAATCCCCGTCTCCGAGAAACACCCAAGAATGATCAATAAATACTAAAATAAATAAATAAATAAATAAATAAATACATAAATACATAAAATCTTAAAAAAAAAAGAATTTCTGTACTTCAAGACAGGTCTTTTGAAATAACATAGGCAGACAAAAACTAAATTATAAAAATGAAGAAAGCCTGCAGGATTTATGAAACACCATCATGTGAATAAAGTATTACAGATGTTCCAGAAGGAGAAGAGAAGGGAAAGGTGGGGAAAACATGTTTAATGAAATAATAGAAGAAAATTCCCCTAAGCATTGGGAGAGATATGGACATCCAGAACCAGGAAGCTCAAAGAACCCCAACAGATTCAACCCAAACAGGTCCTCACTGAGAGACATATATTATATATCAAATTTTCAAAAGTCAAAGACAAAGAAATAATTTTAAAAGCAGCAAGAGAGAAGTGTCAAGTCACATACAAAGGAAACTCCACTAGACTAACAGTAAATTTCTCAGGAGAAAACTTACAGGCCAATAGAGAGTGGGATGATATATTCAAAGTACTGAAAGAAAAAATAAAAATTAAAAATGGCAATGAGGAATATTATACCCAGCAAACCTACACATTAAAAATGAAGAATAAATAAAATCTTTCACAGACAAGAAAAACTAAGAAAACTCATCACCACTAAACTGATCTTGCAAGAAATACTCAAGAGAGTCTTATATCTGGAAGTAAAAAAGATGATAACCACCATCGATAAAACATACGGAACAATAAAACTCATTGGTAGGACTCATACACAAACAAGAGAGAAAAACAAATAAAACCTTATCAATGTAAAACACCACTCAACTGTAAAAATAATGGGAGGAAGTAAGAAACAAAGAATATACAAAACAATCAGAAAACAGTAAAATAATAGGAGTAAATCCCTATCAATAATAATCTTGAATATAAATGGATTAAATATACATTTAGAAGACATAGATAGGTTGAATGGATAAAAAAGAAAGACCCTATGATATACTGCCTACAAGCAACTCACCTCACCTATAAAGACACACAAAAACTGTAACTGAAGGAATAAAAAAGATATTCCATGCAAAAGAAAACCAAAAGTGAGCATGAATAGCTATACTTATATTGGACGAAAAAGACCTGTAGTTAAAAGCTGTAAAAAGAGACAAGGCAACACAGTAATAAAGCAATCAAGTTAGCAAGAGAATATAACAATTATAAATATATATGCACCCAACATCAGAACACCCAGACATATAAAACAAATACTATTAGACCCAAATGAAGAAATAGATCCAAATACAATAATAGCTGTGGACTTCAACACTCCACTCTCAGCAATGGACAGATCATCTTGACAGAAAACCAACAATGGGACATCAGATTTAAACTGCACCACAGACCAAATGGATGTAACAGATATTTGTAGAACATTTCACCCAACAGCTATAGAATACACATTCTCCTCATCAGCCCATTGAACATTCTCCAGGATTAACTATATGTTAGGACACAAAACAAGTCTCAAAAAAAACTTTAAGATTGTTAGATATGAGTTCTAAATTTCTCTTCAAAGTATCAATATGTCAGTATGTTCAATTCTTTGCCTTCTACTTTTAAACTTAACTTCCTCATAAAGCAACCTTTTTCAATCACCTGCTCCACCCTGACTCCTTCCAATTACCTGCTCCACCCTGACTCATTCCAATTATCTGCTCCACCCTGACTCATTCCAATTACCTGCTGCACCCTAACTCATTCCAATTACCTGCTCTGCCATAACCATTTTTCCTGCCAAACCACTCACCAGGTCACTCTCTTTAAATTAGCCAATCAGAATTAGTTTAGCCTGTGCGGCCTAACCCTAGCTAATAGGAGGAATAACAAGCAGCAGGGGCCACATGTGTCAGGAATCAGAACCCCTTCCCCTCCCTTGTCCAGGTGTGTGCTCACCATTGCTCCATCTGTGAGGGTGCACCCTTCTATAGAAGTAAATTGCCTTGCTGAGAAGAAAAAAAACAGAAAATTTTATATTCAAGCACTATTTCTTTTACGACACTGAAACTTTATTTATAACAAGATCAAAATCATACCAAGTATCTTCTCAGACCAAAATGGAATAAAACTAGATATCAATAAGAAAAGGAACATCTGAAACTATATAAATGCATGGAAACTAAACAACATGCTCCTGAATGACCAATGGATGGAAGAAGAAATTAAGAATGAATTTCAAAATTTCTTGAAATGAAAATAGAATCGTAAGATCCCAAAAGCTAGGGAACACAGCAAAAGCAGTATTAAGAGGAAACTTCAGGGAAATATATGCTGAAATTAAAAAAACTAGAAAGATTTCATATAACCTAATGGTGCACCTCAAGGAACTAGAAAAGCAAGAAGAAACCAAAACAAAAAGTTAGCAGAAGTAAAGAAATAATAATGACCAGAACAGAAATAAACAAAATTGAGACTAAAAACAAAAGATCAACAAAACTAAAAGTTGTTTTTTTTGAAAATAAATAAAATTGGTAAACCATTAGCTAGACTAAGAAAAAAGAGAAGATCCAAATAAAATCAGAAGTGAAAAATGAGACAGCACAACAGGAGCCATGGAAATACAAAGGCTCATTGGTGATTACTATGAAATATGTCAATAAATTTAAAAACCTAGAACAGATAAATTCCTGGACACCTACAACATACCAAAAGTAAACTAAGAAGAAAGAAAATCTGAACCAATAACAATAATAACAAGTAATGAGACAACTCAGTAATAAAAGGTCTTTCAACAAAGAAAAGTCCAAAAATAATGGCTTCACCAAAGAATTCTATCATTCTTTTAAAGAAGAATTAATACCAAGTCTTCTCAAACTACTTCAAAATGTTGAAGCAGGGAATTCTCACTAATTCATTCTACAAGTCCAGCATTACCTTGATAGCAAAACCACATAAAGACACAATCAGAAAAGAAAACTACATGCCAATATCCCTGATGAACACAGACACAAAAGTCCTCGACAAAATACTAGCAAACCAAAGCCAACAACATATCAAAAAGATAACCATAACCAAGTGGGATAAATCCCAGGAATATAAGAATAATTCAACACATGCAAATAAACAAACATCATACATCATATCAATAAAATGAAGGACAAAAACCGTAACACCTCAGTAGACTCAGAGAAAGCTCTTAATGAAATTCAACATCCCTTCATGATGAAAACACTTAATAAATTATGTGTAGAAAAAAAGCATCTCAATATACAAAGGCCATATATAACAAACCCACAGCTAGCATCTTCTGGAATGGGGAAAAAACTGAAAGCTTTTCCTCTAAGAACTGGAACAAGACAAGGATCTCCACTCTTATTCAACATAGCACTAGATGTCCTAGCCAGAGCAATCAGGCAAGAAAAATAAATAAGAGGCATCAAAACTGGAAAGCAGAAAGCCAAACTGTCCCTGTTTGCAGATGACATGATCTTATATATACAAAAACCTAAAGACTCTACCAAAATACTCTTAGAACTGATAAACTAATTCAGTAAACTTGCATGATATAAAATTAATGAACAAAAATCAGTATCACTTCTATACAGGAACAATGGAGGAGCCAAAAAAATGAAGAAGGCAATCCTATTTACAATTGCTACAAAAAAAAATACCTAAGAATAAATCTAACCAAGGAGGTGAAAGATCTCTACAAGGAAAACTACAAAACACTGATAAAAGAAATCGAAGAGGACCCAAAGAAATGGAAAGAAAGGCCAAGTTCATGAATCAGAAAAATTAATATTGTTGAAATGGCCATACTACCCTAAGCAATCTACAGATTCGATGCAATCCCTAACAAAATACCAATGACATTCTTAACAGAAATAAGGGGGAATATCCTAAAATTGGCATGGAACCAGAAAAGATCCCAAATACTCAAAGCAATCTTGGGCAAAAAGAGCAAAGCTCATACTACTACACCTCAAAACATACTACAAAGCAATAGTAACCAAAACAGCATGATACTGGCATAAAAACAGACACACAGACCACTAAAACAGTATAGACAACCCAGAAATTAATGCACATATCTATAGCCAATTAGTTTTTGATAAAAGTACCAAGAACATTCATTGGCAAAAGGACCATTTTTTCAATAAATTATGCTGAAAAAACTGGATATCCATATGCAGAACAATGAAACTAGACTTCTACCTCTCACTCTATACAAAAATCAACTGAAAGTAAATCAAAAACCTAAATGTAAAACCCAAAACTATAAAACTACTATAAGTAAACAGGAGAAATGCTTCAGGACATTGGTCTACACAAAGATTTTATAAATAAGACCTCAAAGCAACACAAGCAAAAATAAACAAACTGGATTATATAAAATGAAAAAGCTCTGCACAGCAAAGGAAATAATAAAGTGAAAAGACAACCTACAGAATGGGAGAAAATATTCTGAAACCACTCATCTGACAGGAGACTTAATAACCAAAATATACAAGAAACTCAAACATCTCAAAAGCAAAATAAAAAAAAAAAATCCAATTACAAAATGGGCAAATGAGCTCCTGTAAGAACACAGGCTTGACCTAATATCTGATCTGCTTCCCCCAGGACACTGTTCTTTCTGAGAGATGGCACTAATAAGACCATATCTGCCATTGCAGGTGGGATGATCTCATTTCATTTGTAGGTGGCCTTTCTCATTCTCTTGTCATTGTCATGAACTGGGGTATCCCTAGCAGGAAAACTGAGTATTATGCACATAACTCTGCAGATCATGGGCAGTGCTTGGTCAAGTTCCTTCTATGGCACTGTGGTTAAAAGACTACAGACCATTCCATAGCGAGACCTGGTTTTTCTCTACATTTTGCTCTTTTTCTCTGTGAAGTATGACTCTTGCCTCAAGATCTGGTTGCCTGGCATGGTTTTTCCAGCATTGTTAACTAAATCTCTTGATATATTTCCCCCCTCGCATGTAACAGATTCCACCTGTGATCAATACTTTCTACCTAACAGCTATCGCTTAACTGCCGTATATTTTTGCATTTATTTATACTGTGGTCAGAATACAAAATGAGCTATTCTTTCTCTGTTCATCATTACAAGAAGAGTTACATATGTGTTACAGTTTTTTGTATTCTTTGCCTAATTCTCTGACTGCTGTGCCCCATAATTTTCATAAATTCTCTATCTGTAATTCGTCATTAGATTTGAAAATACGATTAATGTTCATATTAAAGGTTGAAACAATTAAAATTGAAAATGGGCAAATAATCTGAACATTCTCAAAAAAGACATATAAATGGCCAATAAATGTATGAAAAAATGCTCAACATCATTAATCATCACAGAATTGCAAACAAAACCAACAATGAGGTATCATCTCACCCCCAGTTAAAATGGCTATCATCAAAAAGACAAAAGTAACAAATGCTGGCAAGGATGCAGAGAAAACAGAACCCTTATATGCTGTGCTGGAGATGTAAACTAGTATACCACTATGGAGAACAGTACGGAGGTGCCTCAAAAATACTACAAGTGGCTCTTCCAGAACACAGAAGCAGAGAAGCCTCTGCAGTGCTGACATTTAGCTGGAAAGGTGCTGCGCCTTAGGTCTCATCTGCTGTCCGGGACAACAGAGAGGACAAGATGACCAACCAGACACAGCTGAACCACCAGTGCAGTCAGAGCCTTGCAGGGCACAAAGCAAGGCAGACCCATCCCTTCCAATGCCCTGCCCTTGCACCAACGCTGCCACAGGAGTGAAACTAGACCTAGAGAAGAGCGGACTCTCCCACTTTCTGAGTGACTACCCCATAACACACAGGCCTGCGCCTGACAGCGCCCCACCTCCATCCTCACACCACCACCAGCACAACCATTTGCACAGTCACCAGCAGAAGCCCCCAACCTCCCCCCAGCCATACCGCCTCTTCCACTGTGGTGAATGCCTGCACAAAGGCAAGAACCTCGGCATTCACTAGCACCCTGATGCAGCAGTGTGCACTCTGCCATGTTGTCAATGCTGCTGCTGGCAGCACATGCAAACAAACATGGATCCTGCTGCCACCACACTACAAAATGCACTCCAATTGGAGTGTAAGTGACCTGTGTTCCAGGAGCACCTCAGCCCCCACCCCCACCAGCACAGTGGATTCCTAACCTCAAGGAGTCAGAGAGCAAAGTCAGGATACAACAAAAGTCACCCAGAGTTAGAGCATGCAGCCCAGAAGTTGTGAGTGAGCATTAGCCCCCTAAAATCTTCTGCAAACTAAGCCAGTCGGCTGAATTCACCTTATACCGCAATCAAAACCCTCAAGGTCATCAACTAGGATAAAAGTAAAAAAAAAAAATCTAAAGGTCAGCAACTTCAAAGACTGAAAAAACATCAGCCCACAAAGATAAAAAGAATCAGTGCAATAACTCTGACAACTCAAAAAGTCAGAGTGCCTTCTTTCATATAAACAACCACACTGGCTGGACGCGGTGGCTCACGCCTGTAATCCCAACACTTTGGGAGGCCAAGGTGGGCAAATCACCTGAAGTTGGGAGTTCGAGACCAGCCTGACCAACATGGAGAAACACCGTCTCTACTAAAAATACAAAATTAGCCGAGCGTGGTGACGCATGCCTATAATCCCAGCTACTAGGGAGGCTGAGGCAGGAGAATAGCTTGAACCCGGGAGGCAGAGGTTGCAGTGAGCCAAGATTGCACCATTGCACCCCAGCCTGGGCAAGAAGAGCAAAACTCCATCTCAAAAAAAACAAAACAAAAAAAAAATGGCTGGGCATGGTGGCTCACGCCTGTAATCCCAGCACTTTGGGAGGCCGAGGGGGGCGGATCACGAGGTCAGGAGATCCAGACCATGGTGAAACCCCGTCTCTACTAAAAATACAAAAAAAAATTAGCTGGGCATGGTGGTGGGCGCCTATAGTCCCAGCTACTCGGGAGGCTGAGGCAGGAGAATGGCGTGAACCCAGGAGGCGGAGCTTGCAGTTAGCCAAAATCACACCACTGCACTCCAGCCTGGGGGACAGAGCCAGACTCCGTCTGAAAAAAAAAAAAAATAACCACACCACCTCTCCAGAAAGGGTTCCCAATGGCGCTCAGATGGCTAAAATGACAGAAATATAATTCAGAACATGGTTAGGGAGGAAGACCATTGCGATAACAGAGTATGTCAAAACCCAACCCAAGGAAGCTAAGTATCACAATAAAATGATACAAGAGCTGAAAGTCAAAATAGCCAGTATAGAAAAGAATGTAACTGACCTGAAAGAGCTGCAAAACACACTACAAGAATTTGATAATGCAATCACAAGTATCAACAGCAGAACAGACCAAGGTGAGGAAAGAATCTCAGAGCTTGAGGACTGGGCTTCTGAAATAAAACAGTCAGAAAATAACAGAGAAAAAGAATGAAAAGGAACAAAATCTCCAAGAAATATGGGCTTATGTAAACAGACCAAATCCAGAGGCCAAGGCAGGCAGATCACGAAGTCAAGAGATCAAGGCCATCCTTGCCAACATGGTGAAACCCCATCTCTACCAAAAATACAAAAATTAGCTGGGTGTGGTGGCACGCACCTGTAGTCCCAGCTACTCAGGAGGCTGAGACAGGAGAATCACTTGAACCCGGGAGGCAGAGGTTGCAGTGAGCTGAGATCATGCCACGGCACTCCAGCCTGGCAACAGAGCAAGACTCCATCTCAAAAAAATAAAAAAGAGACAAAATCCATAACTCATTGGTGTCCCTGAAAGAGACAGGGAGTGTGTAAGAAACTTGAAAAACATATATCAGGATATGAACAATGAGAGCTTCCTCCAACCTCGACAGGCCAACATTTAAATGCAGGAAATGCAGAGAACCCCAGTAACATACTTCACAAGAAGATCATCTCCAAGATATATAATCATCAGATTCTCCAAAGTCAAAATGAAAGAAAAAATGTTAAAGGTAGCTAGAATGAAAGATCAGGTAACCTACAAAGGCAAACCCATCAGACTAACAGTGGACCTCTCAGGAGAAACCCAAGCCAGAAGAGATTGGGGGCCAATATTCCATATTCTTTAAAAAAAAAAGAGAGATTCAAACCCAGAATTCATAGCTGGCCAAACTGAGCTTCACAAGCCAACAAGAAATAAGATCCTTTTCAGACAATCAAACACTGAGGAAATTCGTTACCCTCAGACCCGCCTTAAAAGAGCTCCTGAAGGAAGCACTAAATATGGAAAGGAAAGACCACTACCAGCCACCACAAACACAAACTTAAGCACACAGACCAGTAACACTATAAAGCAACCACACAAACATGTCTCCATATTAACTAGCTAACACCATGATGACAAGATCAAATCTACACATATCAATAATAACCCTGAATGTAAACAGGATAAATGCCCCAATTAAAAGGTGCAGAGTAGCAAGCTAGACAAAGAACCAAGACCCATTAATATGCTGTCTTCGAGAGATCCATGTCACATGCAAACACCCACAGACTTGAAATAAAGGGATGGAGAAAAATCTACCAAGCAAGACAAAATAGAAAAAAGCAGGGGTTGCAATCCTAATTTCAGACAAAACAGACTTTAAACCAACGAAGATCAAAAAAGACAAATTAGGGCATTACATAATGGTAAAGGATTCAATTCAACGAGAAGACTTAACTATCCTAAATATATATGCACCTAACACAGGAGCACCCAGATTCATAAAGCAAGTTCTTAGAGACCTACAAAGAGACACAGACTCCCACACAACAATAGTGGGAAACTTCAACATGCCACTGACAGTATTCAATAGATCATCAAGGCAGAAATTAACAAAGGTATTCAGTACTTGAACTCAGCACTGGATCAAATGGATCTGATAGAAATTTACAGAACTCTCCACCCAAAAGCAACAAAACATACATTCTTCTCATTGCCACATCACACACATTCTAAAATTGACCACATACTCGGACACAAAACACTCCTCAGCAAATGCAAAAGAAGTGAAATCATAACAACCACTCTGTCAGACCACAGCACAATCAAATTAAAAATCAACACCAGGAAATTCACTCAAAACCTTACGATTACACATAAGTTAAATAAACTGCTCCCAAATGACTTCTGGGTAAATAATGAAATCAAGGCAAAAATCAACAAGTTCTTTGAAACTAATGAGAACAAAAATATAATATACCCAAAATCTCTGGGACACAGCTAAGGCAGTGTTAAAAGGAAAATATATAGCACTAAATGCCTACACCAAAAAGAAAGATCTGTCTCAATCTAACATCACAACTAAAAGAATTAGGGAGCTAAGAGTAAATCAAGCCCAAAGCTAGTAGAAGACAAGAAATAACCTAAATCAGAGGTTGCACAGAAGGAGAGGAAAACATGAAAAACCATTCAAAAGATCATTGAAGGCAGGGGTTGAATTTTTGAAAAGAAAATTAATAAAATAGGCCAGGCAAGGTGGCTCACGCCTGTAATCCCAGCACTTTGGGAGGCTGAGGCAGGTGGATCACGTGAGATCAGGAGTTCGAGACCAGCCTGACCAACAAGGCGAAATCCCGTCTCTACTAAAAAATACAAAAATTAGCTGGGTGTGGTGGCACATGCCTGTAATCCCACCTACGGGAGGCTGAGGCAGGAGAATCACTTGAAGCCAGGACGTAGAGGTTGCAGTGAGCTGAAATCATGCCACTACACTCCAGCCTGGGCAACAAGAGCAAAACTCTGCCTCAAAAAAAAAAAAAAAAAGAAAAAGAAAAAGAAAATTAATAAAACAGATAGATGGCTAGCTAGACTAATAAAGAAGAAAAAAGTGAATATCCAAATAAACACAATTAGAAACAGCAAAGGGGATATTACCACTGACCCCAAAAAAATTCAAATAACCATCAGAGACTATTATGAACACCTCTATACATATAAACCAAAAAATCTGGAAGAAACGTTTACATTCCTGGACACATACCCCCTCCCAAGACTGAACCAGGAAGAAACTGAATATGTGAACAGACCAATAATGAGCTCTGAAACTAAATTTTAATAAACTTCCAACCAACCAAAAGAGGCCAAGGACCAGACAAATTCACAGCCAAATTCTAACAGATGTACAAAGAAGAGCTGGTACCATTCTTACTGAAACAATTCTAAAAAACTAAGGAGGAGGGACTTCTCCTTGACTCATTCTATGAGGCCAGCATCATCCTGATATCAAAACCTGGCAGAGAACAGGCCAATATCCTCAATGAACATCAGTGCAAAAATCCTCAATGAAATATTCGCAAACCAAATCCAGCAGCACATCAAAAAGCTTATCCACTATGACCAATTTATCCCTGGAATGCAAGATTGCTCTAACGTATGCAAATCAATAAACGTGATTCATCACATAAACAGAGCTAGAAACAAAAACCACATGATCATCTCAACAGATGCAGAAAAGGCTTTTGGTAAAATTCAACACCATTTATGTTAAAAACTCTCAATAAGCTTGGTGAAATAGTAACAGATATCTATGACAAACCCACAGCCAACGTCATAACCAATCTATAAAGCTGGAAGCATTCCCCTTGAAAACCGGCACAAGACAGAGGTGCTCTCTCTCACCACTCCTAGTCAACATAGTATTGGAAGTCCTTTCCAGAACAATTAGGCAAGAAAAAGAAATAAACAGCATCCAAATAGGAAGAGAGGAAGTCAAACTACCCATTTGTAGATGACATGTCCTATACCTACAAAACCCCACAGTGTCAGCCCCAAAGCTCCTTAAGCTGAAAAACAACTTCAGCAAAGTCTCAGAATACAAAATCTACGTGCAAAAATCACTAGAGTTCCTATACACCAACAACAGCCAACTTGAGAGCCAAATCGGAACAGAATCTCATTCACTGCCATAAAAAGAATGAAATACCTAGAAATATAGCTAACCAGAGAAGTGAAAGACGTCTACAAAAAGAACTACAAAACATTGCTCAAAAAAAAAAAAAATCAGAGATGACACAAACAAATGGAAAAATATTTCATGCTAACAGAGAAGAATCCATATCATTAAAATGGTCATACTGCCCAAAGCAATTTACAGATTCAATGCTATTCCTATCAAACTACAATGACATTCTTCACAGAACTAGAAAAATCTATTTTAAAATTCACATGGAACAAAAAAAAATCCCGAATGGCCAAGGAATAAAAAAATATCCCGAATAGCCAAGGCAATCCTAAGCAAAAAGAACAAAGCTGGAGGCATCATGCTACCCAACTTCAAACTATACCACAGGGCCACAGAAACTAAAACAACATGGTACTAGTACAAAAAACAAACACAGAGACCAATGGAAAACAACAGAGCACCCAGAAACAAGGCCACACACTTACTACCATCTGATCTTCAACAAACCTGACAAAAACAAGCATTGAAGAAGACTCCCTATTCAATAAATGGTGCTGGGATAACTGGCTAACCATATGCAGAAGATTGAAACTGGACCCCTTCCTTACACCATGCACAAAAATCAACTCAAGACAGATTAAACATTTGGCCAAGTGCAGTGGCTCACACCTATAATTCCAGCACTTTGGGAGGCCGAGGCGGGTGGATCACCTGAGGTCAGGAGTTCCAGACCAACCTGGCCAACATGGTAAAACCCCATTTCAACATGGTGAAACTAAAAATACAAAAATTAGCCAGACATGGTAGCGTGCACCTGTAGTCCCTGCTACTTGGGAGGCTGAGGCAGGAGAATCACTTGAACCCGGGAGGCAGAGGTTGCAGTGAGCCGAGATGGCACCACTGCACTCAATCCTGGGCGACAGAGCAAGACTCCGTCTCAAAAAAAAAAAAAAAAAAAAAAAGATAGATTTAACACTTAAATGTAAACCCCAAAACTGTAATAGATCACCTAGGCCAATACCATTCGGAACATAGGAACAGGCAAAGATTTCATGACAAAGGCACCAAAAGCAATCACAACAAAGGCAAACATTGACAAATGGGATCTTATTAAACTTAGGAGCTTCTGCATAACAAAAGAAACTATCAACAGAGTAAACAACCTACAGAATGGGAGAAAAATTTTGCAATCTATCCATCTGACAAAGGTCTAATATCGTCTACAAGGAACTTAAACAAATTTATAACAACAACAAAAAAAAACATTAAAAAGTGGGCAAAGGACATGAACAGATGCTTCTCAAAAAAAGACATTCATGTGGCCAAGAAGCATATGAAAAAAAGTATCATTGATCACTAGAAAAATGCAAATCAAAATCACAATGAGATACCATCTCACACCAGTCAGAATGGAAGATCATCGCCCAGGCACACAGTCATCAGGTTATCTAAAGTCAAGACGAAGGAAAGAATCTTAAGAGCTGTGAGGCAAAAGCATCAAGTAACCTATAAAGGAAAATTTATCAGATTAAAAGCAGATTTCTCAGCAGAAACCCTATAAACTTGAAGGGATTGAGGTCCTATCTTTAGTCTCCTTAAACAAAACAATTATCAGTCATGAATTTTGTATCTAGCAAAACTAAGCTTCGTAAATGAAGGAAAGATAGTCTTTTTCAGACAAACAAATGCTGAAAGAATCTGCCACTACCAAGCCAGCACTAAAATAACTGCTAAAAAAAAAAAAAAAGCTCTAAATATTGAAACAAAAACCTCAAAATACACCAAAATAGAACCTCCTTAAAGGATAAATCTCACAGGACCTGTAAAACAATAGCAAATGAGAAAAAAACAAACAAGGTATTCAGGCAACAACCACAATGATGAACAGAATAGTACCTCACGTCTCAATACTAACACTGAATGTATGGCCTAAATGCTCCACTTAAAAGATACAGAATGGCAGAACAGATAAGAATTCACAAACCATGCATCTGTTGTCTTCAAGAGACTCACCTAACATATAAGGACTCATATAAACTTAAGGTAAAAAGGTGGAAAAAGATATTCCATGCAAATGAACACCCAAAGCAAGCAGGAGGAGCTATTCTTACATCAGATGAAACAAACTTTAAAGCAAAAGCAGTTAAAAAAACACAAAGAGGGATATTATACAATGATGAAAGGACTAGGCCACGCATGGTGGCTCATGCCTGTAATCTCAACAGTTTGGGAAGCCGAGGTGGGCAGATACTTGTGGCCAAGAGTTCCAGACCGGTCTGGCCAATATGGCGAAACCCCATCTCTACTAAAAATACAAAAATTAGCCAGGCATGCTAGTGCATGACTATCAGTCCCAGCTACTCAGGAGGCTGAGACACAAGAATCGCTTGAACCCAGAAGGCACAGGTCACACCACTGATGACACCAAGATCACACCACTGCATTCCAACCTGGATGACAGACAGAGAGACTGTCTTAAAAACAAACAAACAAACAAAAAAGATTTAAAAACTAGTCCAACAGGAAAATATCAGAATCCTAGATATATATGCACCTAACACTGGAGCTCCCAAATTTATAAAACAGTTACTACTAGACCTAAGAAATGTGATGGATGGCAACACAATAATGGTGGCGGACTTCAATAATCCACTGACAGCACTGGACAGGTTATCAAGACAGAAAGACCACAAGTAAACAATGGACTTAAACTATACCCTAGAACAAATGGACTTAACAGATATTTACAGAACATTCTACCCAACAACTGCAGAATATACATTCTAATCATCAGTACATGGAACATTCTCCAAGATAGATCATATTACAGGCCACAAAACAACTCTCTATAAATTTAAGAAAACCAAAATTACATCAAGTACTCTCTCAGATCACAGTGGAATAAAATTGGAAATTAACTCCAAAAGGAACCCTCAAAACCATGAAAATACATGGAAACTAACCTGCTGCTGAATGATCATTGGGTCAACAATGAAATCAAGATGGAAATTAAAAGTTATTTGAACTGCATAATAGTGACACAATCTATCAAAACCTCTGGGATGCAGCAAGAGGTGCTAAGAGAAAAGTTCTTAGCATTAAACACCTATATCAAAAAGTCTAAAAGAGAAAAAAGAAGACAGTCTAAGGTCACACCTCAAGGAACTAGAGAAACAAAAACAAACTAAACCCAAACCCAGCAGAAGAAAAGAAATAACAAAGATCAGAGCAGAACTAAATGAAATGGAAACAAACAAACAAAAAAGAAACAATACAAAAGATAAATGAAACAAAAACCTCGTTCTTTGAAAAGATAATAAAGGGGGGTGGCCAACAAAGGAAGGGGACGGGGCGGGCACGCGCCCTCGCAGCCACTCGCCTCCCTCCCTGCACGTACATCCACACACCCACCCCCCTCCCCTGCCTCCCTCCCTGCGCTCTGCCCACCCTGCCACCCTCCTTGCCCTCAGGCACTCAGAAGGAAGTCCAGAGACATGGGAGTGGTGGCCACATAGCACTGTGGCCAGCAGCCGAGGCCAGGTCTGAGGAGCAGTCCTGAGGACAGACATTGGGCAGGAGTGAGGGGCCAGCCTGGCTGGAGGTTGTGACTCTGGCTACAGTCCCCCCACTGCAGGGAAGGACTGCCAAGGCATTGATCTAGGCGGTGGAGGTGGCTGGCCCAGATAAGATGCACCAAGTCCCTTGTAGTTCTCTTCAGAAGAAAAATCACTAGTGGTCTGCTCTTGCCATAATACCAAACCTTTTTGACTTATGCTTTGGTGCTGCAACACTGGAAGAATTCAGTTTCCAGGAATATCTTTTTTTCATTTGAGTGATTCTTAGGGATGGAAAAATATTTTAGTCTTAATAATTACCTTGTTTTAAAGCTATTTTCTTTACAGTCTGAACTGCTTAATAAATTGAGTCATTTACCAATGAGGCACACAGCCACTTCTCGTCAGGAGCTGGTTGAAAACTGTGCTGTGCCTGTAGCAGGAATGGCACAAGATGATAGCCGTCATGGGCAAGTGCCATCCAGCTTTCATCATGGTGCCACAAGGAACTTGACCTGTCCACCAAAGTGTAACAAAGGGAACCAGGAAGTCCTTATTCTGTGTTTGTGGACACCAAGATGAGCAAACTACATCTCCATGAAACAGAAGAACAGCCACATTTCAGGGAGACAGGAGCAGAGTCTGATGTGCATGCTATTAAGGAAGACCAGGAGAATTCTGATGACACAGAAGAGGAGGAGGAAGAAGAGGAAGAAGTCTTTTACAAAAGGGAGCAGATCATAGTGGAGGTAAACCTTAATAATCAAACATTAAATGTACCTAAAGGGGAAAAGGGTACCTCTTCTCAATCCAAAGAGACTCCTGTTCTTAAACAATGAGGAGGAAGAGAGAGAGGAAGGGGCCACAGATAACAGCAATGACTATGGAGAGAATGATAAGCAGAAGAAAAAGGAGAAGATAACAGAGAAAGTCAGCGTTACAGAAAGAAGAATGAGGAGAGCTGCCTCTGTTGCTGCAGCTACCACTTCCCCTACTCCCAGAACTACAAGAGGTTGCAGGAAGAGTGCAGAGCCACCTAAGCGTAAGAAGCGGGAAACAAAGGAGCCTGAAGCACCAGTGCAGAAAGCTAAGTGTGACCTGTGAGAAGTGACCCAGGGTTGTTTTTTGTTTTTGAGACAGTTTTACTCTTGTTGCCCAGGCTGGAGTGCAATGGCGCGATCTCGGCTCACCACAACCTCCATCTCCCGGGTTCAAGCGATTCTCCTGCCTCAGCCTCCCGAGTAGCTGGGATTACAGGCATGCATCACCACGCCCAGCTAATTTTGTATTTTTAATAGAGACGGGGTTTCTACATGTTGATCAGGCTGGTCTCGAACTCCTGACCTCAGGTGATCAGCCCGCCTCAGCCTCCCAAAGTGCTGGGATTACAGGCGTGTGCCCCAGGGTATTTAATGCTCACTGGTGTCTGGAGAAGCAAATGAATATTACTCATAGGCACATGCAGATTTGTGATAAATGTGGCAATAAGTTTGTCCTGGAAAGTGAGCTATATCTTCACCGGCAAACAGACTGTGAAAAAAACATTTAGTTTGTTGCCTGTAATAAATCGTTCAAGAAACTGGATCCTTCATGAACATATCAAGATCGTCCATGGATATGAAGAAAAGAAATTTTCCTGTGAAATTTGTGAGAAAAAATTCTATGCCATGGCTCATGTGCGAAAACACATGGTTGCACACATGAAAGACATGCCATTTACATGTGAAACCTGTGGAAAATCATTCAAATGCAGTATGTCACTCATGGGGCACTCCCTGCAGCATTCTGGAGAGAAGTCCTTCAGATGCGAGAACTGTGACGAAAGGTTTCAGTACAATTACCAGCTACACACCCACATGAGCATCCACGTTGGGCACAAACAGTTCATGTGCCAGTGGTGTGGCAAGGATTTCAACACGAAGCAGTATTTTCATGAACACATGAAAACAAACACTGGAGAGAAACCCTTTATCTGTGAAATCTGTGGCAAAAGATTTCATAAATCATAAAGGCCAGAGTAAGGACAACTTTAAATCATAAAGGCCAGAGTGCGGACAACTTTCTGTGGCAGTTGGCAGAGAAGAACAGTTCAGCACAGCATCATTAACATCCATCTCCTTAAGCGTGTTCTCCAGGAGATAAGTTCCCATGTGTTAGTGTGCAAAGAAAGAAATGGTGGGCGTTTCTTTAGTTCTCAGACTCTCCTTGGCCTCCACTAAGAGTTCTGTGGTTGTCACTGAAACAACAGATCTAAGGAAATAAACAAGAAGACGACCTTGAGCTCACAGAGGGACTGTCATCTAAACCAAGGGAAACACCAAACTAAAGCCCAATATGCTTGCATTTTCTGGTGACTTTTGTAAGTTTCAAATACTCAGACTTCTAGAATTTTATAATTTCATATCAGCTGATTAAAGAAAAAAAGAAAAGATGAATAACACTGATAGACCATTAGAAAGATTAACCAAGAAGAGAGAAAATCCAAATAAGCTCAATTAGAAACAAAACAAGAGATATTACAAGCAATACCAAAGAAATACAAAAGATCATTCAAGGCTACTATGAACATCTTTATGGGCACAAACTAGAAAACCTAGAGATGGACAAATTTCTGGAAATACACGACACTCTTAGATTAAACCAGGAAGATACAGAAACTCTGAACAGACAAATAACAAGCAGTGAGACAAAAATGGTAATTAAAAAAAAAAAATGCCAACAAAAAAAGTCCAGGACCAGAAGGATTCACAGCTGAATTCTATCAGCCATTCAAAGAACTGGTAAAAATCCTATTGAAACTATTCCAAAAGATAGAGAAAGAGGGACTCCCTAAATCATTCTATAAAGCCAGTATCACCTTAATATCAAAACCAGGATAGGACATAACAAAAAAAGAAAACTACACATCAATATCCTTGATGAACATAGATGTAAAAATCCTCAACAAAACACTACGTAACTGAATCCAACAGTATATTAAAAGATAATCCACCATGATGAAGTGGGTTTCATACCAGGAACACAGAGATGGTTTAACATAGGCAAGTCAATAAACGTGATATACTACATAAACAGAATTTAAAACAAAAATCACATGATCATCTCAATAGATGCATAAAAAGGATTTGACAAAATCCAGCATCCTTTATGATTAAAACCCTCAGCAAAATTGGCATAGAAGGGACATACCTTAATAAAAGCCATCTATGACAAACCCACAGCCAACATTATATTGAATGAGGAAAAGACAAAAGCATTCCACCTGAGAACTGGAACAAGACATGGATGCCCACTTTTACCACTTCTCTTCAACATAGTACTGGAAGTCCTAGCCACAGCAATCAGACAAGAGAAAGAAATAAAGGACATCCGAATTGGTAGAGGCAGTCAAATGATCACTGCTCACCAATGACATGATCATATACCTAAAAAACCCTAAAGACCCATCCAAAAAGCTCCTAGAACTGAAAAATAAACTCAGAAAAGTTTCAGAATACAACCTTTTTTTTGAGATGGAGTTTTGCTCTTGTCGCTCAGGCTGGAGTGCAATGGCACAATCTCAGCTCACTGCAACCTCTGCCTCCCAGGTTCAAGCAATTCTCCTGGCTCAGCCTCCCAAGTAGCTGGGATTACAGGCGTGCACCACCACCCCCAGCTAATTTTTGTATTTTTAGTAGAGACAGCGTTTCACCATGTTAGCCAGGCTAGTCTCAAACTCCTGACCTCAGGTGATCTGCCCGCCTTGGCTTCCCAAAGTGCTGGGATTATAGGCGTGAGCCACCGTGCCTGGCCACAGGATGCAAAATTGATGTGCACAAATTTGTAGCACTGCTACACACCAACAGCCACCAGGCTAAGAATCAAATCAAGAACTCAACCCCTTTTACACTAGCTGCAAATAAAATAAAATAAAATACTTACGAATATACCTAATCAAGGAAGTGAAAGACCTCTACAAGGAAAACTATAAAACACTGCTGAAAGAAAACATAGATGACACAAACAAATGGAAACACATCCCATGCATATGAATGGGTAGAATCAATATTGTGAAAATGAACACACTGCCAAAAGCAGTCTACAAATTTAATGCAATTCCCATCAAAATATCACCATCATTCTTCACAGAACTAGAAAAAACAAATCTACAATTCATATGGAACCAAAAAAGAGCCCACATAGCCGAAGCAAGACTAAGCAAAAAGAACAAATCTGCAAGCATCACATTACCCTACCTCAAACCATACTATAAGGCTATAGTCACCAAAACAGCATGGTACTAGTATAAAAATAGGCACATAGACAAATGGAACAGAATAGAGAATCCAGAAATAAACCCAAATACTTATAGCCAAATGATGTTTGACAAAGCAAACAAAAACATAAAGTGGGGAAAGGACACACCCTATTCAACAAATGGTGCTGGGATAATTGGCAAGTCACATGTAGAAGAATGAAACTGAATCCCCATCTCTCACCTTATACAAAAATCAACTCAAGGATGGGTGCAGTGGCTCATGCCTGTAATCCCAGCACTTTGGGAGGCTGAGGCGGGAGGATCACTTGAGGTCAGGAGTTCGAGATCAACCTGGCCAACGTGGTGAAACCCCACCTCTACTAAAAATACAAAAATTAGCCAGGCGTGGTGGCAGGCACCTGTAATCTCAGCTACTCGGGAGGTCGAGACAGGAAAATCACTTAAACTTGGGAGGCGGAGGTTGCGGTGAGCCCAGATCATGCCACTGCACCCCAGCCTGGAAAACAGAGCGAGACTCCATCTCAAAAAAAAAAAAAAAATCAACTCAAGATGGATCAAAGACTTAAATCTAAGACCTGAAACCATAAAAATTCTACAAGGTAACATCGGAAAACCCCTTCTAGACACTGGCTTAGGGAAAGACTTCATAACCAAAAACACAAAAGCAAATGAAACAAAAACAAAGATAAATGGATGGGACTTACTTAAACTAAAAAGCTTCTGCACAGCAGAAGAAATAATCAGCAGAGTAAACAGATAATCCACAAAGTGGGAGAAAATCTTCACAAACTATGCATCTAACGAAGGACTAATATCCAGAATCTACAAGGAAGTGAAACAAATCAAGAAGAGAAAAACAAATAATCACATCAAAAAATGGGCTAAGGACATGAATACACAATTCTCAAGAATTGTCCATTGAGAATCTTCTCAAGGAGATAGACAAATGGCCAATGAACACATGAAAAAATGCTAAACATCATTAATCATCTAAGAAATGCAAATTAAAACCACAATGAGATGCCACCTTACTCTTGCAAGAATGATCATAATTTAAAAATAAAAAAAAAAGATATTGGCACGGATGTGGTGAAAAGAGAACACTTTTATACTGCTGATGAGAACATAAACTGGTACAACCACTATGAAAAACAGTGTGGAGATTCCTTAAAGAACAAAAAGTAGATCTACCATTCAATCCAGCAATCCCACTACTGGATATCTACCCAGAGGAAAAGAAGTCATCATACAAAAAAGACGCATGCACACGCATGTTTATAGCAGCACAATTCGCAACTGCAAAAATATGGAACTAGCCCAAATGCCCATCAGTCAATGAGTGCATAAAGAAAACGTGTGGTGGTACAGACACACACACACACACACACACAAATATACACACACCATGGACTACTCAGCCATGAGCCAAAAAAAAAAAAAAAATCATGGCATTCACAGCAACCTGGATGGAATTGGAGACCATTATTCTAAGTGAAGTAACTCAGGAATGAAAAACCAAACATCATATGTTCTCACTTATAAGTGGGAGCTAAGCTATGAGGATGCAAAGGCATAAGCATGATACAACGGACTTTGGGGACTCGGTGGGGGGAAGGGTGGGAGGTGGGTGAGGGATAAAAGGCTACACATTGGGTACAGTGTACACTGCTCGGGTGATGGGTGCACCAAAATCTCAGAAATCACCACTAAAGAACTCACTCATGTAACCAAACACCACTTGTTCCCAAAAACCCTATTGAAATAAAAAAACTTAATTTTGAAAAGAATTTTTTTTAAAAGCTACACACACACACACACACACACACACACACTCAAAAAATAACAGGTCCCAGCACTTTGGGAGGCCGAGGCGGGCGGATCACGAGGTCAGGAGATCGAGACCATCCTGGCTAACAAGGTGAAACCCCGTCTCTACTAAAAATACAAAAAATTAGCCGGGCGTGGTAGCGGGCGCCTGTAGTCCCAGCTACTCGGGAGGCTGAGGCAGGAGAATGGCGTGAACCCGGGAGGCGGAGCTTGCAGTGAGCCGAGATCGCGCCACTGCACTCCAGCCTGGGCGACAGAGCGAGACTCCGTCTCAAAAAAAAAAAAAAAAAAATAACAGGTACTGGTGAGACTGCTGAGATAAAAGAATGCTTAAACACTGTAGGCAGGAGTGTAAATTAGTTCAACCATTGTGAAAAACAGTATGGCAATTCCTAAAGACCTAAAAACAGAACTGCCATTCGACCCATCAATCCCAATATTGCATATATACCCGAAGGAATATAAATCATTCTATCATAAAGACATATGCATGTGTATGTTCACTGCAGCACTATTCACAATAGCAAAGACATGGAATCAATCTAAATGCCCATCAATTGTAGACTACAGAAAATGTGGAACATATACACCATGGAATACTATACAGCCATAAAAAAGAACAAGATCCTGTCCTTTGCAGGAACATAGATGGAGCTGGAGGCTATTATCCTTAGCAAACTAACATGGGAACAGAAAACCAAATACCACATATTCTCACTTACAACCGGGAACTAAAAGATGAGAATACATGGACACACAGAGGGCAACAACAGACACTGGGGCCTACCAGAGAATGGAAGGTAGGAAGAGGCAGAGGATCAGGAAAAATAACTAATGGATACTAGGCTTAATACCTGGGTGACAAGATCATCTGTACAACAAACCCCTGTGACATGAGTTTACCAATATAACAAATGTGTACACGTACCCCTGAACCTAAAACAAAACTTAAAATAAATAAATAAATATTTCAAATTAAAAAAAATACTACAAATAGAACTACTATATAGCTGAGTGTGCTAGATCATGCCTCTAATTTCAGCATTTTGGAAGGCTGAGGTGGGCAGATCACTTGAGCCCAGGAGCTCAAGACCAGCCTGCCTGGGCAACATGGCAAAACCCCATCTCTACCAAAAAATACAAAACTTAGCCAGGCCTGATGATGTTGTGCACCTGTAGTCCCAGCCACTCAGGAGGCTGAGGTGGGATCACCTAAGCCCAAGGAGGTCGAGGCTACAGTAAGCTGTGATGGCACCACTGCACTCCAGCCTGCTGACAGAATGAGACCCTGTCTCCAAAAAAAAAAAAAAAAAAGAACTACTATATGATCTAGCAATCCCACCCCAGTGGGATTCTTTTTTTTTTTATTTTTATTTTTTATTTTTTGGTCTCAAGATCTCTTTGTGGAGCCACTGGGATTTTATCCAATGGAACAGAAGTCATTATATTGAAGAGACATCAGCACTTCCATGTTTATTGCAGCACTATTCACAACAGCCAAGATATGGAATCAACCTAAGTGTCCAATAACAGATGGATTAAGAAAATATGTTGTATATACACAATGGAATACTATTCTGCCATAAAAAATACTGAAGTCCTGCCATTCATGGTAATGTGAATGGAACTAGAGGACATTATGTTAAGTGAAATAAGCCAAAAAGAGAAAGTTAAACACCTCATATTCTTATTCATACATGGAAGCTAACAAAAAAAACCTGAATGAAGGATACTGGAGGGGAAGGGGAAGGGAGGATTTGAAGAGATTTGTCAAAGGATACAAAATTACAACTAGATAAAAAGAATCAGTTCTAATGTTCTATCCCACATAAGATGACTATAATTAATAATAATATATAGTTTCAAAAAGCTAGAAGGAAAATATTGAACTTTCTCAACCAAAACAAATGATGTTTGGGATAATGGATATTCTAGTTACCCTGATCTGATCACTATATATTATATGCACCAAAACATCACTATGTACCCATGAATACAACTATTATTTGTCAATTAAAAAATAAAAATTTTAAACAGAGCCTGGCACCTCCCCTCACTCTTGCTTTCTCTCTCGCCATGTGATCTCTGCACGTACAGGCTTCTCTTTGACTTTTGCCATGAGTGGAAGCTTCCTAAGGCCCTCACCAGAAGCAGAAGTTGGTGTCATGCTTCTTGTACAGCCTACAGAACCATGAGGCAAATAAATCCCTTTTCTTTATAAATTATACAGCCTCAGGTACTCCTTTATAGCAAAACATAAACAGAGTAAGACAGTAGGTATTCTTGTCTCACTTTTAGATCTCAGTGAAAACTCTTTCAATATTTTATGACCGAATGTGATGTTTGCTGCAGGTATTTTAGTAGCTATCATTTATTAGATAAAGAAAATTACCTTCTATTCTTAGTTCCCTTAGAGTTGTTATCACAAAAGGGTGCTAATTTATACTTCTGTTTTTAAGAAAATTTAAAACGGTACGTGTAGCTCCCTTTCCAGAGAAGTGTACTCCTAAATATATATGATTCCTGGATCATGGTAGGTTACATGTCCTCCCATACCCCTCTTAACAGTAACCCAACTAGATTAGAGCTCCACTCCCATATACATTGGCTCTATACCCACACTGCAACAGTTCTACTTCATTATACCATCTGAGATGGCTTGTAGCCGTACTGAACTGCTAGTCCAGGCTGCCCAAGTTATTTGCCATGGCATCAATTTTGCTTTTGTTAATACTCTGATTTTGTGTAATTTCTCCCTATTTTTCCCATAAATCTTATTAATTACAGATTCTGAAGAACACGATCCATCTCAAGAATGTGTAAATGTTACAGTAGAAATACCCATATATGCCACAGAAGAGGACAGTAGTCAAGCCAAACTACATTTAAACATATTTAGGCCAGGCGCAGTGGCTCACGCCTGTAATCCCAGCACTTTGGGAGGTTGATGTAGGCGGATCAGCTGAGGTCAGGAGTTCAAGACCAGCCTGGCCAACATGGTGAAATCCTATCTCTACTAAAACTACAAAAATTAGCTGGGCGTGGTGGTGGACGCCTGTAATCCCAGCTACTAGGGAGGCTGAGGCAGGGGAATTACTTGAACCTGGGAGGCAGAGGTTGCAGTGAGCTGAGATCGCACCATTGCGCTCCAGCCTAGGCAACAAGAGCAAGGCTCCCTCTCAAAAAAAAATAAATAAACAAAAATTAAAAAAAATTTGAGGACCTGTTCTAATTAGGACTAAAGATGCCCAGCCAATCAGACGGAAACATACAAATAAATGGACTATAACGTAGTTCTATTCAAAGGCAGCTAAGCATGGGTAGATTACCTATTCATAAAAAATAAGTAAGAGGGCACAAAATATAGTTAGATACAATGAATAAGATCTAGTATTTGATAGCACAATAGGGTGACTACAGTCAGCAATAATTTATTGCACATTTTTTAATAACTGAGGGAGTACAATTGGAACCTTTGCAACACAAAAAAAGGTAAATGCTTGAGATGATACTACATGTACCATGTGATTATTACACATTGTATATCTGTACCAAAGTATCTCAAGTACCCCATAAATATATGTAAAAAACGTGTTCTGACAGCCAGAAATTAATTATCTAATTGTTGCTAATATATTAGAATCAAAAAAGCTCATACCTTTATGCTGAACACAGATCAGGAAGAATTTTATATAACACTATTTCATCATGTGACTAATTATGGCTCCAGAATTATTGCTTATAATCTTATTAGCACAAAATAAATGTATATAATACTGCCAAAAATGATCACAATTTATGTGCTTTGTAGGTCCATACTCACCTTCACATTTTTCAAGAATCTGGACTGTTTCTCCTATTTCTAAGACCAACCCTTGAGGGACAGATCCTCGAAAGCTGCATATCACTAGAAAAGCAAGGATAAACACACCAATTAGCATTTTTAAACACTGAGACATGGTCAGAGTCACTGAATTAAGCACTAAATTTTCTTAAATGTATACCTTCCCTTCTTTACTAATTCCTCTTTCTAAAGTGTAAGCCCCTTTCCATTTAATCTACATTTTGAAAAATAATATTAGCAGTTTGGGACAATAAAATACATTGTGGGAAAATTGCTATCCATGAGTGGTGGGTGCATGTGTGCTTGTAGAAAAACATTTCTATTAACAGAGTCTCTGTCCCTTGGATATCCTGTGTTCAAGTGTACTTTTTGAGCAAGTTTGTATCAATTACTTAAGAAAAAAATAATATTAGGAGCTTCTTATCTACCACAAGCAAACAAATAGATATTTTTTAAAAGAATCATCAAATAAATTTGATTATGCTTTGAAAAGCAGAATTCTCATGATAAAAATGAACAGAAACTAATGAAATAGAAAGCATATGCACAACAGAAAAAATCTATAGATAACAATCAAAATCCCGTAACTTTTTTAAGGAAATTGACAAACTGATTCCAAAATTCATATAAGAATACAAAGAATAAAGAAAAGCCCCATCTTACCTCAAAGTAATAAAAGCTATATATGACAAACCCACAGTCAAATCACACTGAATGGGGAAAAGTTGAAAGCATTCCCCCTGAGAACTGGAACAAGATAAGGATGCCCATTTTCACCACTTCTCTTTGACATAGTACTAGAAGTCCTAACCAGCAATCAGGCAAGAGAAAGAAATAAAGGGCATCCAGATTGGAAAAGAAGATGACAAACTGTCACTATTCATCAATGATATAATCATATACTTAGAAAACCCGTCATACAAAAGATTCCTAGATCTAACAAACAAATTCAGTAAAGTAAGGTCTCAGGAACAAAATCAATGTACACAAATCAGTAGCACTGCCATACACCAAAAATCAAGCTGAGAATCAAATCAAGAACTCAATCCCTTTTACAACAGCTGCAAAAAATAAAAATAAAATACCTAGGAATATACTTAACCAAGGAAATTAAAGATCTCTACAAGAAAAACTACAAGGCACTGCTAAAAAAAAGTCACAGATGACACAAACAAATGGAAACATATGCCATGCTCACAGATAACAAGAATCAATATTGTAAAAATGACTGTACTGCCAAAAGCAATCTACAGATTCGATGCAATTCCCATCAAAATATCATCATCATTTTTCCCAAGAACTAGAAAAAACAATCCTAAAATTCACATGGAACCAAAAGAGAGCCTGAACAGACAAAGCAATATTAAGTATCACATTATGGGACTTTGAATTATACTACAGGGCTATAGTTACCAAAACAGCATGATACTGGAATAAAAATAAGCAGTTAGACCAATGGAAAAAAATACAGAACCCAGAAATAAAGCCAAATGGTATTCAACAAAGCATACAAAAACATAAGCTGGGAAAAAAAAACACTGATATGGTTTGGCTCTGTGTCCCCACCCAGATCTCATCTTGAATTGTACTTCCATAATTCCCACGTGTTGTGGGAGGGACCTGGTGGGAGATAACTGAATCATGGGGGCAGTGTTCCCCACACTGCTCTCATGGTATTGAAAAAGTCTCATGAGATCTGATGGTTTGATAAGGGGAAACCTGTTTCGCTTGGCTCACATTCTCTCTTCTCTTGTCTGCTGCCATGTGAGAAGTGCCTTTTATCTTCCACTATGATTGTGAGGCCTTCCCAGTCACATGGAACTGTAAGTCCAATAAACCTCTTTCTTTTGTAAATTGCCCAGTCTTGGGTATGTCTTTATCAGCAGCATAAAAATGGATTAATACAGACACCTTATTCAATAAATGGTGCTGGGAAAACTGACAAGCCACATGTAGAAGAATGAAACTGGGTCCCCATCTATCACTATACAAAAAACAACTCAAGATGGATAAAACACTTAAATCCAAGACTTGAAACCATAAAAATTCTGCAAGATAACATGGAAAAAAACTCTCCTGAACATTGGCTTAAGCAAAGAATCCCTGAGTAAGACCCAAAGGCAAATGCAACAAAAACAAAAACAAATGAATGGAACCTAATTAAACTAAAAAGCTTCTGCACAGCAAAAGAAATAATCAACAGAGTAAACAGACAACCCACAAAGAAAATATCTGCAAACTATGCAGCTGACAAAAAACTAGTATCCAGAATCTACAAGGAACTCAAATCAGCAAGAAAAAAAAAATCACATAAAAAACTGGAAAAAGGACATGAATAGGCAATTCTCAAAAGAAGATACACAAACAGCCAACAAACACATGAAAAAAAATGCTCAATATCATTAATCCTCTGGGAAATGCAAATTAAAACCACAATAAGACACCACCTTCTGCAAGAATGGTCATAATTTAAAAATCAAAAAACAATAGATGTTGGCATGGAAGTAGTGAAAAAGGAACACTTTTACACTGCTGGTGGGAGTGTAAATTAGTACAACAGTTACAGAAAACAGTATGGAGATTCCTTAAAGAATTAAAAATAGATCTGCCATTCGATCCAGCAATCCCACTACTGGGTATCCACTCAAAGGAAAAGAAGTCATTATATGAAAAAGACACATCCACATGCATATTTATAGCAGCACAATTCACACAATTGCAAAGACACAGAACCAACCTAAATGCGCACTGACCAACAAGTGGATAAAGAAAATGTGGTAAATATACACCATGGAATACCACTTAGCTATAAAAAGGAACAAAATAATGTCTTTTGCAGCAACTTGGATGGAGCTGGAAGCCATTATTCTAAGTGAAGAAACTCAATGGGAAAGCAAATACCATATGTTCTCATCTATAAGTGGGAGCTACGCTATGAGGACACAAAGACATACAGAGTAATAGACTCTGTGGACTTGCTGGAGGGAGGGTGGAAGGGGTTGAGAAATAAAAGACTACATATTGGATACAGTGTACACTGCTCGGGTAACAGGTGCACTAAAATCTCACATTTCATCACTAAAGAACTCATCCATGAAACCAAAACCTACCTCTACTCTCAAAACTATTGAAAAAAATAAGAAGAAACGCCCTGTCAATCTTGAAGAACTTCCACTACCGTAAATCAAGCCTTATAATCTAAAAATTGGTTCTTTGAAAACACTAACATTGACAGACATCTAGAAAAACTAATTAGGAAAAAAGAAAAGAAACAAATTATCAGTATCAGCAATCAAAACATTAAAATCATCATAAAAGGATATTACACAAAAAAACTTATACCAACTAATTTGAAATTTTCCATGGGAGACGAATTTACAGAAAGGCAAAATCTACAAAAACTGGCAGAGAAGTTAAAAATTTAAATAGTCCTATATTTATTAAAGAAAAGTTAATCTGTAATTAAAAACTTCCCACAAATGAAATGCCAGGTCCTGATGACTTTATCAGTGAATCTGTCGAAACATCTGAAAAAAATAACACCAATCATAAATAATCTCTTCCAAAGAGGGAATTCATTTTGAACTCAGCATGACAGCAAAGCCTGAGGACATGAGACTAAAGGAAAATTACGGCTAATCTTTCTCATTAATATAAATAAAAACATTTTTTAAAAAAATACAAAGCAAATCAAATCCAACTATGCATAAAAAGGATGATGCATCATGACCAACTGGGGATTATTCAAGGAATGCAAGATTGGTTTAATATTAGAAAATTAATGAAGGAAAAAAATCATATGATCACCTCTATATATGAAAAAATTGATAAAATTCAAAGTCCACTCATGACAAAAATTCTTAAGAAAATAAGACTAGAAGGGGACTTCCTTAATCTGATAAAGGGCATCTATGATGTGTCTATAGGAAACATCACACACACTGGTGATATACAAAACATTTTATCACTAAGGTTAGGAACAAGAAGAGGATGGCCACTGTCACCATTTCTATTCAACACTGTATGCAGGACCAGTCGATGCAAATAAGGCAATTAAAGGTGTAATAATTGGAAATGAGGAAATAAAATTGTCTTTATCAGCAGGTCTGACTGTGTATGTAAAAAAAATCCAAAAGAATATAGACATAAACTATTACAACAAATACATGATTGTAGCAAGGTCACTAGATACAAGGTGAATATTTTTAAGTCTATATATCAATAAACAATTAGAAAATTAAATGTTTTGAAAATACACCATTTATAACAACATCAAAAAATGCCATGTAACTGGAAATAAATCTAATGAGACATGTAGAAGAACTCTACACAAGAAGCTATAAAATATTAGAGACATTAAAAGCCTAATATAAGCATATATCATATTAATGGATTAGAAAACTCAATAGTGTAAAAATATATATTCTCCCTAAATTAATCATTACATTCTCTGCAATCCCAATCAAAATTCTAATAAACTTTTTTGTAGAAATCAATAAACTGATTCTGAAATGTGTATAAAAATGCAAAGGATGAAGGAGGTGAATATATACTGATATCAAGCCTCTCAGTTGTAAAGAAAACAAGCTGTGAAAAAATGTATATACCATGAGTCTATTTGCATGTGTATATATGCATATATTTATATTTGATCTCTGCTGAAGACATCCAAACTGCTATTGGTAATCTGTATACTCTGGGAATATTTGGCTATATTTGCAAGTACTTGTAGCATTATAAATCTGTAAATGTTTTAAATCCTCAATGGAAGATAAATTCTGAACAAAAACTTTTCAAATTTTTTAAAACTTTGAAAAGCAGTTCTACCAAGCTCTATCACTTAATATTGTACAGGCTTGGGAATTGTTAAGAAACATCAGATACTCATCGGTGTCTTACTCTGACTACCAAGTGAAAAATAAATGGTCCACCCTAGGATTTATTGCATTGAACCCTCCAAGGTAGAGGGGAAAGGATTAGGTTCTGTAGTCTCAAGTCATTGCAGGTAGCCACAAATTAACAATGATATAGCTGTCTAAGATCAAAGGTGTATTCTAAGCTTGGCTCATAAATAAAACTACAATGAATTGCATAAGCACTTAAGAAATTAACATCAGCAGTTCTTTTACTCGTTAACAAACTCTTTATCGAGGCCCTTACTATTAAATTTCAATCTCTGGAGCACTCACCACCACTCCTGTCTTCTTAATCCACATCACTAATTAACAAGAACATGTAAATTAACAACAGCCTTCATTGTTTAAAATTGAGTGTTTCATGTGTATTCACAGAACCTATGTAAACTTTACATTTCCATAACTATCTTCCTTCTACATTGGCTTTCAAATGATTTTTTTTAAATTAATATAGATCAATGTCATGAAGTGCTTCCCATTTTCCTCTAGTAGTTTTATAGTTTCAGGTCTTACATTTAAGGGTTTAGCCCATTGTGAGTTGATTCTTGTAAATGGTAAGAGATAGGAGTCTAGTTTAATTCTTCTGCATGTGAATATCCAGTTTTCCCAGCATAATTTATAGAAGAAACCATTCTTTCCCCAATGAGTATTGTTGGCACCTTTGTCAAAAATAAGTTGGCTGTAACTGTGGACTTATTTTAGGTTCTCTATTCTGTTCCATTGTTCTGTGTGTCTGTTTTTATGCTAGTACCACACTGTTTGGGATACTACTGCTTTATTGTATATTTTGAAGACAATTAGTGTGATGCCTCCAGCTGTTTTCTTTTTGCTCAACATTACTTTAGCTATTTAGGGTCTTTTGTGGTTCCATACTAATTTTAGGATTTTTTTTTTTCTATTTCTGTGAAGAATGTCATTGGTACTTTGACAGGGATTGCACTGAATCTGTATATCATTTGAAATAGTATGGGCATTTTAATGATATTAATTCTTCAAATCCATGAGCATGAGATCTTTCCATTTATGTGTGTCCTCTTCAGTTTTTGTCATTAATAACATTAGTTTATCATTGTAGAAATCTTTCACCTCTGTGGTTAAATTTATTCCTAGGTATTTTTTGTTTTACCTATTGTATATGAGATTGTTTTCTTGATTTCTTTTTGAGATTGAATAATCGTAGCACATATAAATGTTACATATTTTATATGTTAATTTATGTTTATTTTTAATTTTTGTGGATACACAGTAGGTGTAAATGCTTATGGTATACACGGGATGTTTTGATACAGGCATACAATGTGAAAATAAGTGCATCATGAAGAATGAAGTATCCATCCCCTCAAGCATTTATCCTTTGAGTTACAAACCAATTACACTCTTTAAGTAATTTTAAAATGTAAATTAAGTTACTGACCATAGTCACCCTGTTGAGCTATCAAACAGTAGGTCTTGTTCATTCTTTGTAACTATTTTTTGTACCTATTAACCATCTCCACCTCCCCTCACCCAGCCACCCACTACCCTTCGCACCCTCTAGTAACTATCCTTCTACTCTCTGTCTCTAATAATTCAGTTGTTTCGATGTTTAGATCCCACAAATAAGTGATAACATGTGATGTCTGTTTTTCTGTGCCTGGTTTATTTCACTTAATATAATGATCTTCAGTTTCACCCATGTTGTTGCAAATAAAAGGATCTCATTCTTCTTTATGATTGAATAGTACTCCGTTGTGTATGTGTACCACATTTTCTTTATCCATTCATCTGTTCATGGATGCTTAGATTGCTTCCAAATCTTGGCTATTGTGAACAGTGCTGCAACAAACATGGGAGTGCAGATATCTCTTCGATATATTGATTTCCTCTCTTTGGGGTATATACCCAGCAGTGGGACTGCTGAATCACACAGTAGCTCTAGATTTTTTTGTTTTATTTTGTTTTGTTTTTTGTTTTGTTTTTGTTTTTGTTTTTGAGATGGAGTCTCGCTCTGTCGCCCAGGCTGGAGTGCAGTGGCGCAATCTCAGCTCAGTGCAAGCTCCGCCTCCCGGGTTCACGCCATTCTCCTGCCTCAGCCTCCCGAGTAGCTGGGACTACAGGCGCCCGCCACCACACCCAGCTAATTTTTTGTATTTTTAGTAGAGATGGTGTTTCACCATGTTAGCCAGGATGGTCTCAATCTCCTGACCTCGTGATCCACCCACCTGGGCCTCCCAAAGTGCTAGGATTACAGGTGTGAGCCACCACACCCGGCCAGTAGCTCTAGTTTTAGTTTTCAGAGGAACCTCCAAACTGTTCTCCATAGTGGTTGTACTAATTGACATTCTCACCAACAGCATACAAGGGTTCCCTTTTCTCCACATCCTCACCAGCACTTGTTATTGTCTGTCTTTTGGATATAAGTCATTTTAACTTGGGTGAGATGGTATTTCATTGTAGGTCTCATTTGTATTTCTCTGATGATCAATGATGTTGAGCACCTTTTCATATGCCTGCTTGCCATCTGTATAACTTTTGAGAAATGTCTGCTCAAATCTTTTGCCCATTTTTTGATCAGATTATTGGATTTTTTTCCTATAGAGTTGTTTGAGCTCCTTATATATTCTGGTCATTAATCCTTTCTCAGATGCGTAGTTTGCAAATATTTTCTCCCATTCTGTGGGTTGTCTGTTCATTTTATTGACTGTTTCCTTTGCTGTGAAGAAGCTTTTTAACTTGATGTGATCCCATTTGTCCATGTGTGCTTTGGTTGCCTGTGCTTTGAGGTATTGCTCAAGACATTTTTGCCCAGACCAATATCCTGGAGATTTTCCCCAATGTTTTCTTGTAGTAGCTTCATAGTTTGAGGTTGTAATCCATTTTGATTTGATTTTTGTATATGGCAAGAAATAGGTGTCTAGCTTCATTCATCTATATATGGATATCCAATTTCCCCAGCACCATTTATTGAAGAGACTGTCTTTTCCATAGTGTATTTCTTGGCATCTTTGGTGAAAATGAGTTCGCTGTAGCTGTGTTAACCTTAACTCTAACCCTAACCTGCCAGTTAAGGTACGGTTAGGGTTAGGGTTAGACAAACCTTGTTTCTGGGTTCTCTATTCTGTTCCATTGGTCTATGCGTCTATATGTAGCATAATCTGAAGTCAGGTAATGCGATTCCTCCAGTTTTGTTCTTTTTGCTTAGGAATGCTGTGACTACTCTGGGTCTTTCCTGGTTCCGTATAAATTTTACATTTTTTTTTCTATTTTTGTGAAGAATGTCATCACTGTTTTGATGGGCAGTGCCTTGAATCTGTAGATTTCTTTGGGTAGAATGCACATTTAAAAAATACTGATTGTTCCAATCAATGAACACGGATTTTTTTTTTCTTTTTTTTTGTGTCCCCTTCAATTTCTTTCATCAGTGTTTATAGTTTTCATTATGGAGATCTTTTACTTTTTTGGTTAATTCTTAACTATTTAATTTTATGTGTAACTATTGTAACTGAGATTACTTTTTTCTTTCTAAGATTGTTCAATCTTGGCATATAGAAATGCTACTGACTTTTGTATGTTGATTTTGTATACTGCAACTTTACCGAATTTATCAGTTCTAATTGTTTTTTTGTTGGAGTCTTCAGGTTTTTCCAAATATAAGATAATATCATCTGCAAATATGGATAATTTGACTTCTCCCTTTCCAACAGGGATGCCCTTTATATCTTTCTCTTGTCTGATTGCTCTATCTAGGACTTCCAGTACTATGCTGAATAACTGGTGAAAGTGGGCATCCTTGTCCTGTTCCAGATCTTAGAGGAAAGGCTTTGCATGTTGATTTTGTAGCCTGCAACTTTACTGAATTCTCATTTCTTAGTTTTAATAGTTTTTTGGTGAAGTCTGTAGTTTTCAATATATAAGATCATGCCACCTGCAAAGAGGGACAATTTGACTTTCTCCTTCCCAATTTAGACACCCTTTATTTCTTTCTCTTGCCTAATTGCTCTGGCTAAAACTTTTTTTTTTTTTTTTTTTTTGAGACAGAGTCTTGCTCTATCGCCCAGGCTGGACTGCAATGGCACAATCTCAGCTCACTGTCACCTCTGCCTCCCAGGTTCAAGCGATTCTCCTGTCTCAGCCTCCCAAGTAGCTGGGATTATAGGCGCCCACCACACACACCCGGCTAATTTTTGTATTTTTAGTAGAGACAGGGTTTCACCATGTTGGCCAGGCTGGTCTCGAACTCCTGACCTCAAGTGATCTGCCACCCTCAGCCTCCCAAAGTGCTAGGATTACAGGTGTGAACCACCATGCTCGACCAAGACTTCTAGTACTGTGTTGAACAGGAGTGGTCAAAGTGGGCATCTTCATCTAGGTCCATATTGTAAAGGAAAAGCTTTTAGCTTTTCCCCATTCAGTATGATGTTAGCTATGGGTTTGTCATATATGGACTTTATTGTGCTGAAGTACATTCCTTCCATTAATATATCTAACATGTTTAGAGTTTTTATTATGAAGGGATATTGAATATTATTGAATGCTACTAGTAAAGACCATAGGAGAAACAATTCATAACATCAGTCTGGCAAAAGCACAGACCAGAAATGTTTAACAAAAAAGGATTACATTAAACTAAAAAGATTCTGCACAGTAAAGAAGAGTGAAGAGACAATCTACAGAATGGGAAAAAAATATCTGCAAACTATGCATCTGACAAGGGATGTTAATATCCAGAATATAAGGAACTCAACTCGGTAGCAAAAAAAAAAAAAATCCAATTAATAAAGATTTCTCAAAAGAAGACATAAATGTGATGAACAGGTATATGAAAAAATGCTCAACATCATTAATCATCAGAGAAATGTAAATCAAAATCACAATGAGTTATTACCTCATCCCAGTTAGGATGGCAATTATCAAAAAGACAAAAAAAAAGTTCCTGAGAATGTGAAGAGAAAGGAAACTCTCATACACTGCTGGTGGAAACGTAAATCAGTACAGCCATTCAGGACAACGGGATGGAGGTTCTTCCAAAACTTAAAAAATATAAATACCATATGATTCTACAATCCCACTACTGCATATATATCCAAAGGAAATTAAATCAGGATGTCAGAGATATCTGCACTCCCATGTTTAATGTAGCACTATTCACAACAGCCAAGATATGGAATCAATATAAGTGTCCATTAATGGATGAAAGAATTTTTTAATGTGGTATATATACACAATAGAATACTATTCAGTCTTTTCTGCATCTATTGAGATAATCATGTGGTTTTTGTCTTTGGCTCTGTTTATATGCTGGATTACGTTTATTGATTTGCATATGTTGAACCAGCCTTGCACCCCAGGGATGAAGCCCACTTGATCATGGTGGATAAGCTTTTTGATGTGCTGCTGGATTCGGTTTGCCAGTATTTTATTGAGGATTTTTGCATCGATGTTCATCAGGGATATTGGTCTAAAATTCTCTTTTTTTGTTGTGTCTCTGCCAGGCTTTGGCAAAATTCAATAGCCCTTCATGCTAAAAACTCTCAATAGATTAGGTATTGATGGGACATATCTCAAAATAATAAGAGCTATTTATGACAAACCCACAGCCAATATCATACTGAATAGGCATTCAGTATGGAAGCATTCCCTTTGAAAACTGGCATAGGACAGGGATGCCCTCTCTCACCACTCCTATTCAACACAGTGTTGGAAGTTCTGGCCAGGGCAATCAGGCAGGAGAAAGAAATAAAGGGTATTCAATTAGGAAAAGAGGAAGTCAAATTGTCCCTGTTTGCAGACGGCATGATTGTATATTTAGAAAACCCCATCATCTCAGCCCAAAATTTCCTCCAGCTGATTAGCAACTTCAGCAAAGTCTCAGGATATAAACTCAATGTGCAAAAATCACAAGCATTCCTATACACCAATAACGGACAGAGAGCCAAATCATGAGTGAACTCCCATTCACAACTGCTTCAAAGAGAATAAAATACCTAGGAATACAACTTACAAGGGATGTGAAGGACCTCTTCAAGGAGAACTACAAACCACAGCTCAACGAAATAAAAGAGGACACAAACAAATGGAAGAACATTCCATGCTCATGGATAGGAAGAATCTATATCATGAAAATGGCCATATTGCCCAAGGTAATTTATAGATTCAATGCCATCCCCATCAAGCTACCAATGACTTTCTTCACAGAATTGGAAAAAACTACTTTAAAGTTCATATGGAACCAAAAACGGGCCCGCATTGCCAAGACAATCCTAAGCCACAAGAACAAAGCTGGAAGCATCATGCTACCTGACCTCAAACTATACTACAAGGCTACAGTAACCAAAACAGCATGCTACTGGTACCAAAACAGAGATATAGACCAATGGAACAGAATAGAGCCCTCAGAAATAATACCACACATCTATAACCATCTGATCTTTGAGAAACCTAACAAAAACAAGCAATGGGGAAAGGATGCCCTATTTAATAAATGGTGCTCAGAAAACTGGCTAGCCATATGTAGAAAGCTGAAACTGGAGCCCTTCCTTACAACTTATACAAAAATTAATTCAAGATGGATTAAAGACTTAAATGTTAGACCTAAAACCATAAAAACCCTAGAAGAAAACCTAGGCAATACCATTCAGGACATAGGCATGGGCAAGCACTTCAAGTCTAAAACACCAAAAGCAATGGCCACAAAAGCCAAAATAGACAAATGGGATCTAATTAAACTAAAGAGCTTCTGCACAGCAAAAGAAACTACCATCAGAGCGAACAGGCAACCTACAGAATGGGAGAATATTTTCGCAATCTACCCATCTGACAAAGGGCTAATATCCAGAATCTACAAAGAACTCAAACAAATTTACAACAAAAAAAAACCCCATCCAAAAGTGGGCAAAGGATATGAACAGACACTTCTCAAAAGAAGACATGTATGCAGCCAACAGACACATGAAAAAATGCTCTTCATCACTGGTCATAAGAGAAATGCAAATCAAAACCACAATGAGATACCATCTCATACCAGTTAGAATGGCAATCATTAAAAAGTCAAGAAACAACAGGTGCTGGAGAGGATGTGGAGAAATAGGAACATTTTTACGCTGTTGGTGGGACTGTAAACTGGTTCAACCATTGTGGAAGATAGTGTGGCAATTCCTCAAGGATCTAGAACTAGAAATACCATTTGACCCAGCCATCCCATTACTGGGTATATGCCCAAAGGATTATAAATCATGCTGCTATAAAGACACATGCACACATATGTTTATTGCGGCACTATTCACAATAGCTAAGACTTGGAACCAACCAAAATGTCCATCAATGATAGACTGAATTAAGAAAATGTGGCACATATACACCATGGAATACTATGCAGCCATAAAAAAGGATGAGTTCATGTCCTTTGTAGGGACATGGATGAAGCTGGAAACCAAGATTCTCAGCAAACTATCACAAGGACAAAAAACCAAACACCACATGTTCTCACTCATAGGTGGGTATTGAACAATGAGAACACTTGGACATAGGAAGGGGAACATCACACACCGGGGCCTGTTGTGGGGTGGGGGGAGGGGGGAGGGATAGCATTAGGAGATATGCCTAATGTAAATGACAAGTTAATGGGTGCAGCACACCAACATGGCACATGTATACATATGTAACAAACCTACACGTTGTGCACATGTACCCTAGAACTTAAAGCATATTTAAAAAAAGAATACTATTCAGCCATAAAAACAGAATGAAATCCTGTCACTTGCGACAAGATGGATGAACCTAGAAGACATTAAGTGAAATAAGCCAAGGCACAGAAGGACAAATACCTTATTATTTCACTCATGTGGAGTTTTAAAAAGTTGATCCCACAGATGTAGAGAATAGGACCGCGGTTACCAGAGACAGGGGCAGGGGCTGGGGGTGGTTAAGGGATGGGGAATGGTTAGAGGTTTGGTCAAACAAAGTTGCAGTTAGATAGGAGGAATACATTCTGGTGTTCTATTTCATAGTAAGGTGACTACAGTTAACAATAATGTATTGTATATTTCAAAATAGCTAGAAGAGAGGATTTTGAATGTTCTCACCAGGAAGAAATGACAAGTGCTTGAGGTGATGGAAAACCTAACTGCCCTGATTTGATCATTACACAATGTGTACATGTATCAAAACATCACACTGTACCCTATAAACATGCATAATTATGTGTCCATTAAAAATAAAACTTTAAAAATTAATTTTTTTAATTAATATAAAAACAGGAGGAAAGAAAAATAAATAAATTATACCTGCTAGAAAAGCAGGCAGCCTGAAAGAGAGTAGAGCTTTCTCCCTAAAATCATGGATCCATTTTCAGGCCTATACTTTATTTGCAGGAATATCATGAAGAATAAATCTACAAGTTAATAGACTGTTTGGCTCTGTTCCCTACTGTGTCTGTCAGATACTTTATAAATTCTAAGAAAGGCTGGACGTGGAGGCTCATGCCTGTAATCCCAGCACTTTGAGAGGCCGAGATGGGCAGATTACTTGAGGTCAGGAGTTTGAAACCAGCCTGGCCAACATGGTAAAACCCTATCTCTACTAAAAATTCAAAAAAATTAGCCAGGAATGGTGGCACGTGCCTGTAATCCCAGCTATTCGGGAGGCTGAGGCAGGAGAATCACTTGAACCTGGGAGGCAGAGGTTACAGTGAGCCGAGATTGCGCCACTGCACTCCAGCCTGGGCGACAAAGCGAGACTCTGTCTCAAAAAAAAAAAAAAAAAAAAAAAAAAACCTAAGAAAGTGGCAGCTTCAAAACAAATAAGCCCATAATCCCAGCACTTTGGGAGGCCAAAGCAGGTGGATCACTTGAGGTCAGGATTTTGAGATCAGCCTGGCCAACATACTGAAATCCCACCACTACTAAAAACAAAACAAAACAAAACAAATATGCCCTTTAACATTACTCATTGTTAACTATATATAATGAAGGATTTATCCGTGGCAAAATAAAACTGAAGACTTGAAAAACAACATATTAGGAAGAAGATACACTAACTCTTTTAACATTTAAAAAATTTTTAAGAGATGGGGTCTCGTCATGTTCCCCAGGCTGGTCTCAAACTCCTTGGCTCAAGTGATCCTCCTGCCTCACCCCCTCACCCAAGCAGCTGGAACTACAGGTATGTGTCATCATACTGAGCTGCTAATTCTTAAATTTTGTAGATATTTATGAAATTCAATTTTTTCACACTATGTTAAGTAGAAAGGGTTATAAACAGTATTTACAGCATAATTCCACACAGTCATCTCTCAGTGTTCATACAGGATGGTTTCCAAGAATTCCTAAATACCAAAATCCATGGATGCTCAAGTCCCTGATATAAAATGGTGTAGTATCTGTAAATAACCTATAAACATACTCTTGTATACTTTAAACCATCTCTAGATTAGTTATAATGCCTAATACAGTATAAATTCTGTATGCCTATAATAATTTTGTATTTTTTATCATGGTATTGTTAGGTTTTTTTCTATTTTTGATCTGCTGTTGGTTGAATCCACAGATGCAGAACCCACGGGTATGAAGGGCCAATTGTATACAGCTTCTGTAGTATTTATTTCTGTTTATTATGCAATAATATGAAATCTGTGCTAAAAGAATACATGTTAGCATACAGACTAAGCACTCAGCACAGTATTCCCAATTCACAGGAAACCATCCATCAAGAAAAAAAAATGTAATACAACATCTCATCACAGAACTACACAAAAATAGAAATGAAAATAAAACCAACGAAAGTAAATTTCTGAGTAGGTCATTAGCTAGTCGTACGAGGAAAGCCACCTACAAATAGTGAATTAATTAAATAGTGTTTGATCACAGCAAACAAAGAAATATGTCCTGAGAATATAAACTTGTTCAAGACCATTAGCATTTTGGTGAGAAAAAGTGCTCTAAGAGTTGTATACATATAGACCAATATCCATAGTCAATTTGAAAACTGAGCAAAGAAATCGATGAAACCAAATGTTAGTTCTTTGAAAATATCAATAGAATTGATTAATCATTTAACCAGATTGACCAAGAAAAACAGAGAGAAGACTTAAATTACTAATATCAGGAATGAAAGTGAAGCTATTACTACCAACGTTAAAAAAATAAAAAATATTAAAAAGAAATACTTTGAACAATTGTATGCCAAAATTTTTCATAAGCTAGAGTAAATGGACAAATTTCTAAAATGAAACATATGATCAAAACTGACTCAAGAAGAAATAGAGGCCAGGTGCAGTGGCTCACACCTGTAATCCCAGCACTTTGGGGGGCCGCAGCAGGTGGATCACCTGAGGTCAGGAGTTTGAGACCAGCCTGGCCAATGTGGCAAAACCCCATCTCTACTAAAAATACAGAAGTTAGCCAGGTGTGGTGGTGCGCACCTGCAATCCCAGCTACTCAGGAGGCTGAGGCAGTAGAAACCACTTGAACCCGGGAAGCAGAAGTTGCAGGGAGCCGTGTATCTCACCACTGCACTCCAGCCTGGGCAACAGAGCGAGACTCCATCTCAAAAATAAAAATAAAAAAGAAGAAATAGAAAAATCTGAATTGCTCTCTAATATGAAAAGAGATTGAGGCAGTAATCACAATGCCTCTCACAGGTCCAAGACCAGACAGATGGTCCCTGACTTAACAATGGTTAGAAATATAATTTTCAACTTTACAATGGTTTATTGAGATATAACCCCACTGTAAGTTGAAAAGCATCTGAACTTACAACTTTTTGACTTTACAATGGGCTTATCAGGGTATTTTTTAATGGATTTTCAACTTACAATATTTTCCACTTATGATGAACTTATTAGGATATAACCCCACTGTAATTCAAAGGGCATCTGTCCTGGTGAACTTTACTAAATGCTTAAAAAAGAACACTAATCCTTCAAAAAAAACTTTTAAAAAAATAAAAAAAGGAAGGAACAACTCCCAAGGCAATTATTACTTACTCTCATGCCAAAACCAAACAAACATATCACAAGGAAAAAAATCCATAACACATAAAGATGATTACACATGATGAAGCGGGATTTATTCTGGATGCAGAAATAACATTTGACAAAATCTAACGCCCTTTCATGATTAAAAAAAAAACCTCAGAATATTAGGACTACAATATAACTTCCTCAACCCACAGGTAACATCACACTTACTAAAGAAAAACTGAATGCTTTATAAGATCAGGATCAGAAAGTAGGGTACAAAACTACTTCCATTTAAAGATGACAAGATCTTTAGTAGGAATATTGGTTAAAAGTATACAGCCCTACCTTACCAGAAGTAGAATTCATCCCCATTTCTCAACTCTTTATATATTTCCTATCTCTCTTAATTTCAGACGTGCACAATGACCACCATATTGATGACCAAAACTAAGTATTATATAATGTCATTTACATACCATAATGTGAATAATGTTAGTTTTAACATTATATACCTAATTTTACTGACTTCTGTGGTTTTTTATTTATTGTCTTTGAGCCTCTAGCTGGGGCTTCTTTCCAATTTAAAAAGCCTCCCTACCTTAAGGTTATCTATTCTTTTTTTTTTCTTTTTTTATACTTTAAGTTCTAGGGTACTTATGCACAACATGCAGGTTTGTGACATATATATACATGTGCCATGTTGGTATGCCGCACCCATTAACTTGTCATTTACATTAGGTATATCTCCTAATGCTATCCCTCCCCGCTGCCCCCACCCCACAACAGGCCCCGGTGTGTGATGTTCCCCTTCCTGTGTCCAAGTGTTCTCATTGTTCAATTCCCACCTATGAGTGAGAACATGCGGTGTTTGGTTTTCTGTCCTTGCGATAGTTTGCTGAGAATGATGGTTTCCAGCTTCATCCATGTCCCTACAAAGGACATGAACTCATCCTTTCTTATGGCAGCATAGTATTCCGTGTTGTATATGTGCCACATTTTCTTAATCCAGTCTATCATTGTGGACATTTGGTTGGTTCCAAGTCTTTGCTATTGTGAATAGTGCCACAATAAACATACATGTGCATGTGTCTTTATAGCAGCATGATTTATAATCCTGTGGGTATATACCCAGTAATGGGATGGGAACGGACATTTTATCAAAGCCATTAGCCTAACGACACCAAAAAGCTCAGAAAAATGGTGAAAAATTATCAGGTGAAGATCCAAAAGAAGATTAAAGTGCAGAAAAGTGAATCCAACTGAGAGGGTAATTTTTCCCTTGGGGAAATTAGCTGCTGAGGACCTGGCCAGCACTTTTGACGGCTTCCCAGGGATAAAGACACCAAAGGTGGAATCTAGGCCCACATTTTAAGCTTGGGGCCCTAAAGACTACATTCTGAATCAACCTCAAGTAGCACTGCCCTCACACAGACTGCAGCCCACTTTCAAAGCAGCTGAATCTCCGAAATTGTGTTAAGGTGTTCTAAGGCTACTAGCAATTTAGAAATTTTGTTTTTCAGCCTATTTCATGTTCCTTTCAGCTAAGTTTTCCTTCTACTGGACACAGGTGGAATCTCAATGAGAAAAGATATTCATGAGACTATTAAGGAAATATAAAATGACGTACCATGTGTGTTGCAAAAGGGAATTTTATTTATTATGCTAAGGAATTTAGAGGAAAACATTGCAGCTTTGTTTATTTTAAAAAATAATAAAAGTAAAAGCTAAATTTTTAAAAAATGATATAAAAATAAAAAAATAAAGAAGACAGGATCTTATGTGTATTTTTTTTTTAATAAAGAATCCATCCAGGTGCGGTGGCTCACGCCTGTAATCCCAGCACTTTGGGAAGCCAAGGCAGGCAGATCACGAGGTCAGGAATCGAGACCATCCTGGCTAACACGGTAAAACCCCGTTTCTACTAAAAATACAAAAAATTAGCCAGGCGTGGTGGCAGGCGCCTGTAGTCCCAGCTACTCAGGAGGCTGAGGCAGGAGAATGGCGTGAACCCAGGAGGCGGAGCTTGCAGTGAGCCGAGATCACGCCATTGCACTCCGCCTGAGAGACAGAGCAAGACTCCATCTCAAAAGAAAAAAAAAAAAAGAATCCACATTAAACTATTAGAGGTAGCAAACTAGTTCAGCAAGATTGCAGGATACACAATCTGTACAGATGCTCCTCGACTAACAACGTGGTTACATTCTGATAAATCCATCGTAAGTTAAAAATATCTTTAATTGAAAATTCATTTAAAATATCTAACCCATCAAACATCATAATTTAACCTAGCCTATTTTAAACATGCTCAAAACACTTCAATTAGCCTACAGCTGCACAAAATCATCTAACACAAAGCCTATTTTATAAGATGTTCAATGCCTCATATAATTTAGTGAATATTATACTGAAAGTGAAAAACAGAACGGTAGTATTAATACTCAAGGTATGATTTCTACTCAATTCACATCACTTTTGCACCATAGTAAAGTCCAAAAACCATAAGACAAACCATCCTAAGTCAAGAACCATCTGCATATAAAAATCAGTTGTGATCTTAGAAACAAACCCTCACATAAATGATCACTTGATTTTTGACAAGAGTGCCAGGATCATTCAACAAAGAACTGACTGTCTTTTCAACCAGAGGTGGTGGAAAACTGGATACCACATGCAAAAGAATAAAGTTGGATGGACCCTTATCTCACAGCATATACAAAAATGAACTAAAAATGGCTCAAAGACTTAAAAGTAAAAGCTATAACTGTAAAACTCTTAGAAGAAAACATAAGGGAAAAGCTTCATGACACTGGGTTTGGAAATGATTTCTTCATGACCAAAAGTACAGGAAAAAAAAAAAAGAGTCCGCCTTCATCAAAATTTAAAACTTGTATGCATCAAAGGCTACATCAACAACAATCCACAGAATGGGAAAAAATATTTTTAAATCATATATCTGATAAGGAATTAACTGACAGGATAAAGAACTCCTACAGATCAGCAACAAACAAACAGATTTTTTTTTTTTTTTTTAATAATATCTCACTCGGTCACCCAGGCTGGAGTGCAGTGGCATGATTACAGCTTATTGTAGCCTTGAACTCCTGGGCTCAGGCAATACTCCCACCTCAGCCTCCCAAGCCTTCCTGTAGTTGGAACTACAGGCACGTGCCACCATGCCCAGCTAATTTTTTCCATTTTTTTTTTTTTTTTTTTTAGAGACGGGGTCTTACTTGTCACCCAGGCTGGTATTGAACTCCTGGGCTCAAGCAGTCCTCCTGCCTTGGCTTCCCAAAGTGCTGGGATTACAGGTGTGGGCCAAAACACCCAACCCAAATTGATTCTTAAAATAGGCAAAAGACTTGAGTAGGCATTTTTGCAAAGAAGATACACAGATGCTCAACAGGCACATAAAAAGATGTTCAACATCCCTAATCATTAGGGAAATGCAAATCAAAGCACAATGAGATGCCACTTCATACCCATTTGGATGGCTATTACGAAAAAATAAAAAAGAACAAATATTAAAGGTGTGGAGAAATTAGAACCTTTTTGCATTGCTGGTGGGGATGTAAAATGGTGCAGCCGCTGTGGAAAACAGTATAGCAATTCCTAAAAAAATTAAACAGAATAATCAAATATAATTATTTTAATTTAAAAAGAATTTAAATTAAATACTTAATTTAGTTAATTAAATATCTAATTTCATTTAACAAATTTAATTTTAATTTGATATTAAACAGAATTATATGATCCAGCCATTCCACTTCTGCGTATATATCCAAAGGCAGGGGACAAGGACAGATATTTGTATACCCGTGTTCTAGCACGATTATATACAATAGTGAAAAGGTGAAAGTAATCCAAGTGTCCACTGATAGATGAACAGATAAAATATGGTACGTGCCTACAATGGAATATTATTCAGCCTTACAAAGTAACAAAATCTTGACATGCTACAACATGGATAAACCTTGAAAGTACTACACTAAGTAAAATAAGCTAGTCACAAAAGGAAAATTTTATATGATTCCACTATAGATGATCCTCAACTTATGATGGTTCAATTCATGATTTTTCAATCTTACAATAAGCTTTTGGATGTACCCTCATCAAAAGAGAAGGAGTATCTGTAATACATTGTTCCCGGAGTGCTCAAATTCATAAAGAAAAAAGTAGAATTTTGGTTGCCGGGGGCTGGGAAAGTGTGGAATGAAGAGTCAGTCTTTAATGGGTACAGAGTTCAAGCTGAGGAAGATGAAAAAGTTCTAGATATAGATGGTGGAGATGGTTATTTAACAACAGTATGTATGTACTTGATGCTGCAGAACTGTACACTTTCAGACGAGATCGGCGCGTTCAGGGTGGTATGGCCATAGACAGAACTGTACACTTACAAATGGTTAAAACTATAAATTTAATTATATATCTTTTTTTTACTGTCGTAATATATAAGCACAATAAAAAAACAGAGATACAGAGATCCAGAATATCCAAAACAATCTTGAAAATGAGGACAAAATATAAAGGATCCACACTTCTCAATTTCAAAACTTACTATAAAATTACAATTGTGAAGATAGTGTGGTAGTGGCATAAGGATAGAATTATGTCAAAGGAAAAGAACTAAGACTCTGGGGCGGGGGGGATAACCTTCAAATTTATGTCCAATTAATTTTCTTTTTTTTTTTCTTTTTTTTTTTTTTTTTTTGAGACAGAGTCTCGCTCTGTCGCCCAGACTGGAGTGCAGTGGCGCGATCTCGGCTCACTGCAAGCTCCACCTCCCGGGTTCATGCCATTCTCCTGCCTCAGCCTCCCGAGTAGCTGGGACTACACACACACACTGCCACTCCCGGCTAATTTTTTTTGTATTTTTTAGTAGAGACGGGGTTTCACCGTGTTAGCCAGGATGGTCTCAATTTCCTGACCTCGTGATCTGCCCGCCTCAGCCTCCCAAAGTGCTGGGATTACAGGCGTGAGCCACCGTGCCCAGCCATCCAATTAATTTTCAATAAAGGTGCCAAGACAATTCAACAGGAGAAAGAATCATCTTTTCAATAGATATCCACAGGCAAAGTATGAACTTGGATTCTTACTTCACATCATAAACAAAAATTATCTCAAAAAAGTTTAAACCTAAATGTAAGAGCTAAACTACAGAATTCTTAAACAGGAGTAAATCTTTATGGCCTTGAATTTGTCAACTGTTTCTTAGATGTGAAACCAAGAACATAAGCAATAAAAAAGAAAATTAAATTTCATCAAAATTTAAAACTTTTGCACTACAAAGACCACCAAGAAAGTAAAAAGACAACCTACAAAATGGAGAAAATATCTATATATCACATATCTTACAAGGGACTTGTATCTAGACTATATAAAGAACTTTTACAACACAACAATAAAAAGACAATCTGAGCCAGGCGCAGTGGCTCACGCCTGTAATCGCAGCACTTTGGGAGGCCCAGGCAGGTGGATCACTTGAGACCAGGAGTTCAAGACCAGCCGGGCCAACATGGTGAAATCCTGCCTCTACTAAAAATACAAAAATTAGCCAGGCATGGTGATGCGCGCCTGTAATCCCAGCTACTTAGGAGGCTGAGGCAGGAGAAATCGCTTGAACCCAGGAGGCGGAAGCTGCAGTGAGCCGAGATCACACCATTGCACTCCAGCCTGGGTGAGACAGCAAAACTCAGTCTCAGAAAAAAAAAAAAAAAAAAAAAAAGACGACAATCTGACTGGGCACAGTGGCTCACGCCTGTAATTCCAACACTTTGTGAAGCCAAGGCAGATGGATTGCTTGAGCCCAGGAGTTCAAGATCAGCCTGAGCAATATGGCAAAACCCTGTCTCTATGAAAAATTAGCCAGGTGTGGTGAGGTGTACCTGCAGTCCCAGTTACTTGGAAGGCTGAGACGGGAGGACTGCTTGAGCCTGGGAGAGTGAGGCTGCAGTGAGCCATGATCCAGCCTGGGTGACAGACTGAGATCCTGTCTCAAAAAAGAAAAAAGATAACACAATTTTTAAATAGGGAAAGGATGTGAATAGATATTTCTCCCAAAGAAGATATACAAATGGCCAACAGGCACATGAAAAAATGCTCCACATCATTAGTAATTGGTGAAATGCTAATCAAAACCACAAGATACCAGTCTGCATGTGCTAGAATCAAAAAGACTGACAACAAAAGTGTAAGAGAGGATGCATTATTGGTGAAAATGCAAAATGGTGCAGCTCCTGTGAAAAATAGCTTGGTTACTCAAAAAGTTAAGCATATAATTACTATATGATCTAGCATTTCCACTCCTAGGTATATGCTGAAGAGAACTAAAAACATATGCTCTCATAAAAACCTGTACACACATGTTCAAAACAGTGTGTGTTTTGAACTAATCAAAACAAAAAAAATGTATGTTTTGATAAACAAAATGTGATATATCTGTTAGAGTAGGTAGACAGACAAGCAGGGCAGGAGAACCCCCCTACATGCCCCCGCTCCCCGCTCCCAGAATGTCAGGCAACCATAGAAAACACCTGGAGATGGTAATCAGCAGCTTCCCAATAAGATCGCAGGAATTGGGCGAGCAGACTCAAGCATGCACATTATGAGGCAAAATGGCAGAGTTTAACCAGTATATGACCATCCTCTGGAAACACTCTATTGGTAAGGGAAAAACGTCCCCAAATTAGCATGTGTACAACTTCCATAAACACACTGTGCATGTGGCCCTCCCAAGTGCTGGCAGGCCACTGCACATGCAGACAGCCCACCCCAAGGTAAAAAATCAAGGGAGGGGAAACAGAAACCCCAGAACCATGCCAGCAAATAAAACCTCAAGTCCAGGGCTGAATGGGGCATTTGGATCTCACTTGGCCCTCTTCCAAGTATACTGTGCTTCCTTTCACTTGTGCTCTAAAACTTTTTAATAAACTCTCACTACCGTTCTAAAACTTGCCTTGGTCTCTCCCTCAGCCTTAAACCTACTTCTGCCCCTCAGCAGAATTCTTATCTATACAGTGGAATATTATTAGTCTAGAAAAAGAATAAAATACTGATACATGCTATAACACAGATGCACCTTGAAATCCTATGCTAAGTAAAAGAAGCCATACACAAAAGAGTATATATTATATGATTCCATTTATATGAAATGTCCAGTATAGGCAAATACATGGACACAGAAAATGGATTCACTAATCTATTTTCTGGAGAAGGGAATAAGAATTGATTGCTATTGGGCACAGAGTTTCTTTCCTGGGAGATGAAAATGTCCTGAAATTAGATGATGATGGTTGCACAACCTTCTGAATATACTAAAAACCAATGTATTGTATATTTTATAAAAAGGCAAAATAATTCAAATGGTTCTCTTTTACATCAACAGATATTACTGATACTGTTCAGTTATACTCAAAAAGTCACTTGCAAGTCCAAAGTGACTGAACAAGTTGAGACACTAATTCATTGTAACCTGAAGTGGTATCTGCTAAGATGTGTTACAACTAATGGTGGTGATACTATACATGGAGCAGAAAAAGGTTCAGTTTGGCAAATTTACAAAGCTTACAAAAATGCAAGATGTTTAAAACCTATGGTATTATTCATCAACAAGTACTCTACAAAAATTATTTGACTCTACAACCATTAGTCAATAATGAACTTCATTCGCTCACATGGTCTTAACCATCTTCACTTATGTGAACCTCTGTGAGAAACTGAAGCTGAATATAATGACTTGCTCAAGTACAGAGTAAGATGATTAGCAGTGATCACGTTGTTGCAATTTTTTGAGCTTACAAGCTTAAACTCAAATTTTTCTGAATGAGAACTGCCCTCAACCACTATTATCAAATACTAAATGGTTTTGGAAACTAGCTTTTGCTGCAATTTTGATATTTTTAATGAATGAAACTTAAAAAATACTTATATATGAAACTCACAACTGCTGTAAAGTCATTTCAACAACAACTTGAATCACAAGTAAAACCAAGCTGCTTTACACATTTCCCATGTTGTCAAAAGTGAAAACGGGCTGGGAGTGGTGGCTCACACCTGTAATCTCAGCACTTTGGGAGGCCGAGGCAGATGGATTACCTGAGGTCAGGAGTTCGAGACCAGCCTAGCCAACATGGTGAAACCCCATCTCTACAAAAAATACAAAATTGACCAGGCGTGGTAGCGCACACCTGTAATCCCAGCTACTTGGGAGGCTTAGGCAGGAAAATCGCTTGAAACCAGAAGGCAGAGGTTGCAGTGAGCCAAGATCACACCATTGCACCCCAGTCTGGGCGACAAGAGCAAAACTCCGTCCCAAAAAAAAAAAAAAAAAAGTTGTTAAAACAAAAAGCAGTATCTCCATTCTCACTCAAATTTGCAGCAAATATGTTTATGTGCTCAAAGTACAGTTCCCGCAACATTTTTTCAATTAAAAAGTTTTCTTATTTATTTCAACTTTTTAGATGCAAGGGGTAATGTACAGATTTGTTACATGAGAATACTCCATGATGCTGGGTTTGGCGTATAAATCCCGGCACCTGGTTGTTAGCATAGTACCTGGCAGGTAGCTTTTCTACCCACTCCACTCCCTTTACCTTCTAGTAGTCCAAAGTGTCTACTGTTCCCATATTTATGTCCTTGTGTGTTCAGTGCTTAGCTCCTACTTATAAGTGAAAACACGCAGTATTTGGTTTTCTGTTCCTCCTGCAGCTTTTTTTTTTTTTTTTTTTTTTTTGAGACAGAGTCTCACTCTGTCTCACCCAGGCTGGAGTGCAGTGGCACGATCTTGGCTCACTGCAACCTCCGCCTCCCAGGTTCAAGCGATTCTCCTGCCTCAGCCTCCCAAGTAGCTGGGACTACAGGCGCGTGACACCACGCCCAGCTAATTTTTGTATTTTTAGTAGAGACGGGGTTTCACTATGTTGGCCAGGCTGGTCTCAAACTCCTGACCCCAGGTGACCCACTTGCCTCGGCCTCCCAAAGTGCTGGCCTGCAGCATTTTTTAAACTTCTTGCAACTGCAAAGGAAAATGCAACTTCAAAGGAAATTTCTGTATTTCACAATCCATTTAACAGTACAACTGATGAGCTGCCACCTAACCATCATCAGAAGTACTTTAATTTGCAATATAATAACATAGTAAGTGGCAAATAACAAGAGAAGACTCTAATAGATTCCCATAAATGCCTTTAAAGTGACAAATATTCTCAAATTAAAATATTTGCCTATGGGTGAGACACGGTGCCTCACGCCTGTAATCCCAGCAATTTGGGAGGCCAAGACAGAAGGACTGCCTGAGCCCAGGAGTTTGAGACCAGCTTATGCAACATAGTGAGACCCTGTCTCTACAAAAAGTAAACTAAAAACAAACAAACAAACAAACAAATTATCCAAGCATGGTAGCACACACTTATAGTCCCAACTTGGGAGGCTGAGGTGGGAGAATCACTTGAGCCCAGAAGATTAAGGCTGTAGTGAGCTGTGATTGCAGCACTGCACTCCACCCTGGGCAACAAAGTAAGACCATGTCTCAAAAAAAAAGAAAAATTCACCTATGGAGTGACACCAGTATTTGGCAATATCTATTTATACGAAAAGGTATTTCTACAGATAAAATACATAAAATCTCATTACAGATCAGCACTGACAGATGAAGATTTATAAATTATTTTGATCACAGGGAACAAGGAACACTAAGTAACTAAAATGTTATTCAAAAAAGATTCTATTCTTCTCATTAGTAAGCAGGCATTACAAAACATTATATTCAATTATTATATTTTGAATTTCATCAAAAAAACGTGTGGAGATCTGTTCCCTCTCTTGTTATCTAAGTACCTACATAATATCCTCGAATTTGCCTCATGGCCCATGAAGTCTAAAGTACTTACTATCTAGCCTTTTAGAGAAAATATTTGCAAACTCCCAGTCTAAAGCAAAAATAGTACCAATGTCATATATTTTTGGTATTTTGTAAAGTAAAATTTGTAACAAAGGTAGCACAAAGTACGGGAGGGAGGAATTTATAGTATTGTAGATCATTACACTACATGGAAGTAATTTAATGACTGCCTCCACTTAACAGTCGATAAGTAGGGGTGTTTGTTTGTTTGTTTTGAGACAGTCTTGCTCTGTCACCCAGGCTGGAGTGTAGTGGTGCGATCTCGGCTCTGTGCAACCTCTGCCTCCTGGGTTCAAATGATTCTCCTGCTTCAGCCTCCTGAGTAGTTGGGATTACAGGTGTGTGCACCACCATGCCAGGCTAATTTTGTATTTTTATTAGAGACAGAGTTTCACTATATTGGGCAGGCTGTTCTCAAAATCCTGACCTTAAATGGTCCACCCACCTTGGCCTCCCAGTTGTTTTTGTTTTTTTTTTTTTTTTGAGACGGACTCTCGCTCTGTCGCCAGGCTGGAGTGCAGTGGCGTGATCTCAGCTCACTCTAACCTCCGCCTCCCGGATTCAAATGATTCTCCTGCCTCAGCCTCCCGAGTAGCTGGGACTACAGGTGCACACCACCACGCCCAGCTTATTTTTTAATTTTTAGTAGAGATGGGGTTTCACCATGTTGGCCAGGATGGTCTCAATCTCTTGACCTCATGATCCGCCTGCCTCGGCCTCCCAAAGTACTGGGATTACAGGGGTGAGCCACTGCACCTGGCTATAGTCGCTAAGTAGTTTATCTCTTCACTAGAATGTTTTTAAATTACCTAACACACCTTTCTTACAAAGAAAGCTTCCAGTGAAATATCATATTTTCTATTTGACAACCTTCCCTATGAAGCAGAAAAGAAAAGACAAAAAAGAAAAAGCATTGCAGGTACTGGGGTGATATAGTTTGGCTGTGTTCCCACCCAAATCTCATCTTGAATTGTAATCCCCATAATCCCCACATGTCTAGGAAGAGACCTGGTAGAAGGTGATTGGATCATGGGGGTGGCTTCCCCCATGCGGGTCTTGTGATAATGAGTGAGTTTTCAGGAGATCTGATGGTTTTATAAGAAGCTCCTCCCCTTCACTCCTCATACTTCTCTCACCTACCATCATGTGAGAAGGTCCAAGCTTGCTTCCCCTTTGCCTTCCACCATGACTGTAAGTTTCCTAAGGCCTCCCCAGCCATGTGGAACTGTGAGTCTACTGAACCTCTTTCCTTTATAAATTACCTGGTCTCAGGTAGTATCTTTATAGCAGTATGTGAATGGACTAATATATATGGGGTTTATTTCAAACCATCAAAACATAAGCTATATACATGCCATCATATATGTAATTAACTGGTGCTATTTTTGTGGTATCATAATAAGATCAGATGGGAAGACTACTATGAATCTCAGTTAACATTTACATAAGCTGTAATACCTATGCATTCATTGCACAACAACTGCTTATAAAAAGTCCATTCTTCAATGTGAACACATGGGCACAGGGAGGGGAACATCACACACTGAGGCCTGTCCAGGCATTGGGGGAAGGGGAGGGAGAGCATTAGGACAAATACCTGATGCATGCAGGGCTTAAAACCTAGATGACGGGTTGATAGGTACAGCAAACCACCATGGCACATGTATACCTATGCAACAAGCCTGCATGTTCTGCACATGTATCTCAGAACTTAAAGTTAAAAAAAAAAAAAGTCCATTCTTTTTATGTCACAGGGTCAAAGGACATATAAAAAAGTCACTTCAGGGGCTTCTTTTTCCTTAGAAATAGTTTTAATCCAAGTAGACCTATTATCGCCTAATACTACTTTAGATACCCACAAAAATATCATCAATCCTATACATACTTATGCCCTTTTTCTTATTTCTTGGTTAAAAGACAATATCAAAATTGTTTGCATTTGAAGCATTATTGCATTGCTAATTAATCTTAAAATTTTATTACATTAAATGAGAAGCTATTCCAATAAATTAATTCTACATTGTCCATACAAATAAAAAAGAAAAAAAATTGTGGCTCACTCAAAAAATAATTTGTTTGGCTTTGCAAAGATGATCTCTTAGAGCAAATCTGTCTTTTTAATTATGTTTTGCTTGGGCCAATTATGAAATTAATTTACATTCTATAGCACACACCAGCTGGATGGTGGAGTAACACACTCTGGGAGCAAATGGACAGCGGAGAAAATCTAGCTTAAAGCACACAAAACTGGCCATGAATAATGCCAAAGCAATCCCCACTTCTTTCCCAACTGATAATTAACTATTATTTTAGCACTACCTCATGCAAAGCAAGTGAAGCACTGCAATGCAAAAGCAAAGGTAGGCCAGGCGCGGTAGCTCACGACTGTAATCCCAGCACTTTGGGAGGCCAAGGCAGGCAGATCATGAGGTCAAGAGATCGAGACCATCCTGGCCAACATGGTGAAACCCCGTCTCTACTAAAAATACAAAAATTAGCTGGGCGTGGTGGCAGGCGCCTGTAATCCCAGCTACTCGGGAGGCTGAGGCAGGAGAATAGCTTGAACCGGGAGTTGGAGGTTGCAGTGAGCCAAGATAGCTCACACTCCAGCCTGGTGACAGAATGACAGAATGAGACTCTATCTCAAAAAAAAAAAAAAAAAAAAAAATCAAAGGTAGACTGTAAACTCTTTAAGGCAGAGGTCCCCAACCTTTTTTGGCACCAGAGACCAGTTTCATGGAAGACATTTTTCCATGGACCCAGGGCCAGGTCAGGGATGAGGGTTTGAGGATGAAATTGCCCTACCTCAGATCATCAGTCATTAGTTAGATTCTCATAAGGAGCATGCAACCTAGATCCCTCACATACACAGTTCACAATAGGGTTTGCATTCCTATAAGAATCTAACACCCCTGCTGATCTGACAGGAGGCGGAGCTCAGGTGGTAGCACTGGCTTGCTCACTGCTCACCTCCCACAGTGAGGCCCGGTTCCTAACAGGCCACAGATTGGTACCAGTCCGCGGCCCAGGGGTTGGGGGCCCCTGCGTTAAGGGATACTAGGAAACTGGGGAAAGGCCAGAGTGTATAATGGATTTGAGAACAGTAATGGAAGACAGAAAATTAACTAAGGAGTTAGGCTATACCCCAAAGAAAATACTGTCAGTTAAACACTACCTTAAGGCATCTGAAATGATGTTTGTAGAAATGGCCCAAGACTTTTTATCTGACATATTACTAGAGAGTAAATATACCAAATTAACTGTAATTTGCTTCTGGATAGTCTTTCCTACCTTTCTTTTTAGCATAAAGAGTTACTAGATGATAAGGAGTCTCTATGATGGGATTTTTCTGTGAGACATGCTTAATCCAAAGAGGCAGTGAAAGATGATGTCCACTGATAGGATTTTTAAAAATAGGTATAAAAACAAGTTGGGGTAGGATGTTGACTACAGATTGACTCACAGAAATATCTATCCTTACTAAGCCACTCCAGCCTTAAACCAAACAAATAAGCTCATTATCTGAAGCTATTTACAAGACGAGGTAGAGAAGAAAATCATTCACTTCTTTTACTTCTTGTTTTCTTTTACCTCTTTTCTTCCCCATTTGCCTGAAACTTAATCCTTACTTTCCCAGTTCCCATTTTCCTGTGCCACACTATACACTACAAATTTACTTGCAACAGAACATAGTGATAAAAAGCACGTTTCACCTACAGCTATGTAAATATTAAATGCTAAATTTGTCCCAGGCTAGGGAAGCAAAACAATATTTTAATTAAATATTTGAAACAAAGAAAGACAAGTTAAAGCTATACCTAGAAAAACTATAAAGAGGAGGCAAATGCTGATAGAAAGAAACTAACTGATGAAGGCCTGCTCTCATCTCAAACACTTTCCTAGGCATATCACACACATTATCCCATGTAATCTTAATTTTGGGAGGGAGGGAGGAAAGAAGGCAGGCAGGCAGGCAGGAAGTATCATCAGGAGAAATCTAGATGGCTATTTTCTAACAGATCTAAAAGACAGCATTATTTGTTACGACACATAAGAAGGCATTTTAAACAGAGTTCATCTGACCCATAAAGGTCACCATAACACTCCTTGAGAATCAATTCTAAGAAATAACTCAGTATGTAAACCAGCCTACCAAGTAATTAAATTTTCAGTGAAGAACATTCTTTCCCAGTATCCAAGGTGCTGACATCCTCTATTCAAGGTAACCTACTACTGGTACCACAGTATACTACAAGGTGTAGCAGAAAGTAGTTTGGTAAGAAACCACGATGAAAGAGGGTAGAGAGTTTGGAGGAAATGTTACATCTAAGCCATGGAAAGCCTAAAAGTACCAACTTGTCCCATCATAAAGCACTGTTTTTCAGAGATTGTATTTAGTTTCAAGAAATTCATTTCTTTCTTCCTTGAAGAGCGGACAAACATTACCAACAACAAGCACTTTGGAGCTCTTTTTTCCATACTCTTAACTGACTATTCATTCCTTCCCCAGCTGTGACCAGATCTGTCTTTGCTCTCTAGAGAGAACACCCACAACTCTGGTATCCTACACAGTCTCTTGTCTTTCCCCACCCAGTGTTTACTTATATTCACTGTGGGAACTCACTAGTTTAAAAAGTCAACTTTACAAGACCGAATCCTTTCCCTCTAAACTCAGAAACCACAGGGCCAGGCACACTGGCTCACAGCTGCAATCCCAGCACCTTGGGAGGCTGAAGTGGAAAGATCACTTGAGGCAAAGAATTCAAGATCAGCCTGGGCAACATAGCAAGACCCCATCTCTAAAGAAAAAGATCAGAAACAATAAAGAATGTCTACTTACACCACTTTCCAAACTGTACTGACGGCTGTAGCCAGGGCAGTCAGGCAGGTAGGAAAAAAATAAATAAAAGGCATACAAATTGAAAAGGAAAGAGTTAAACTCTACTTGCAGATAACATGATTTTCTAACCTAAAAATCAAATGGAATCTACCAAAAACAGTTACTAGAATAAGAGAGTTTAGCAGTGTCATACATTACAAGATCACTATGCAAAAAACAACCACATTTCTATAATCTAGCAGAAAACAAAATATTTTTAAAAACAATACCCCCCCCCTTTTTTTTTTCAGACAGAGTCTTGCTCTGTCACCCAGGTGGGAGTGCAGTGGCGCAATCTTGGCTCACTGCAACCTCCGCCTCCCAGGTTCAAGAGATTCTCCTGCCTCAGCCTCCTGAGCAGCTGGGATTATAGGCATGCGCCACCATGCCCAGCTAATTTTTGTATTTTTAGTAGAGATGGGGTTTCACCATGCTGGCCAGGCTGGTCTCGAATTCCTGACCTCAAGTGATCCGTCTGCCTTGGCCTCCCAAAGTGCTGGGATTGCAGGTATGAGCCACCACGCCCAGCCAGAACAATACCATTTAAACAATACCATTTAAACTAACATAAAACCTATGAAATACTTAAGGGTAAATATGTCAAAATAAATGAAACATCTGCATACTGATAACTAAAATATTTCTGAAAAAAATTAAATAAGTGGATATGCCTTGTACCTTGGTCAAAAGACTCCATATTGTTAAGATGATGATTCTCTCCAAATTAATCAATAGATTTTAATCAACCCAATCAAAATCCCAATTATAGAAATAGACAAATTGATTTTAAAATTCATATGGAAATGCAGATGACATAGAATAGCCAAGACAACTCTGAAAAGAATAAAAAAATTGGAAGCTAACACTACCTGATCTCAAGAATTATTATAAAGCTACGATAATCAAAATAGTGTGGTACTGAAGACTAATATGTGGTAAATACAGACTAATAGATCAGTGGAACAGAATCAAAAGTCCAAAAATAAATCCATGCATATAAAGACAGTTGATTTTTTACAAAGATGCAAAAACAATCCAGTGGGGAAAGGAATGCCAATTCAACAAATGGTGTGGGAACAAATGGATATCCATGTGAAAAAAAATGTACTTGAATCCATACCTTGTACCGTATTAAAAAGAAAACTCAAAATGGATAATAGATGATATAGTTTGGATGTCTGTTCCCTCCAAATCCCATGTTGAAATGTAATGCCCAGTGTTAAAGGTGGGGCCTGGTAGGAGGTGTTTGGGTCATGCAGGCAGATCTCTCATGAATGTCTTGGTGGTGCCCTCTCAACAGCTAGTGAGTTCTCATGAAATCTGCTTGTTTAAAAGTATGTGGCACTTCCTCCACCCCTTACTCCTGCTCTTGCCATGTGATGTACTGGCTCCCCTTTGCCTTCTGCCATGCCTGTAAGCTTCCTGAGGCCCTCACCATAAGCAGATGCCGGCACTATGCCGTGTGTACAGCCTGCAGAACTGTGAACCAATTAAGCGTCTTTTCTTTATAAATTACCCAGCCTCAGATTTCTTTATAGCAAACAAGAATGGACTAACACAACCTAACTGTAAATCTAAAATTATAAAACTTCCAGAAGGCATTATCAGAGAAAATTGTCATGACCTTCGGTTAGGCAAAGGTTTCTCAGATAAGATACCAAAAGCATAATCCACAAAAGAACCAACTGATAAATTAGATATCATCCGCTGGGCATGGTGGTTCATGCCTGTAATCCCAGCACTTTGTGGGGCTGAGGTGGGCAGATCACCTGAGGTCAGGAGTTCGAGACCAGCCTGGTCAACATGGTGAAACCCCATCTCTACTAAAAATACAAAAATTAGCCAGGCATGGTAGTGTGTGCCTGTAATCCTAGCTACTCAGGAAGCTGAGACAGAATTGCTTGAACCCAGGAGGCGGAGGTTGCAGTGAGCCGAGATTGTACCATTGCACTCCAGCCTGGGCAACAGAGTAAGACTCTGTCTCAAAAAAAAAAAAAAAAAATTAGACATCATCAAAATTTAAACTCTTGCTCTTTGAATGAGACTGTAAAAAGAATGAAAACATAAGACATAGACTGAAAGAAAATCTTTGCAAAGTATATATCTGATAAAGGACTTGTGTCTAGAATATATGAAGAACTCTCAAAAACCCAACAATAACAGTGAAGTGACACACAATGACAGAACAGGAAGCTCTATGAGTTGGTCCCTCCCCTGAAAAGAAAACAAACAGGAAACTGGAATAAAAACCAGAATCAATTCTCTTGGAACCCTGGAGCCGAACTGGACACTTATAACAACCACGGATGAACGATCTGATTAGGGAAGAAGTTAATAAAGTTGATGTTGGGTAGGAGGACAATATATGCAAACCAGCTATCTTTGCTCATTCCTCATCCCCTCTGCAACAGCGGGGATAGTAGCTCATATTCCTGAAGCAGCTGCTTGATGCCTGAACAGGCAGGGGGACCTTGTCCTCCAAAAATTCAGTGTTATGCGTTTTGTTCGGTCTGAAGGAACCCTGAAGAATCAGCATGGACATGTTCCTGGTTTTGATCACTTTCCATTTACGGCAACATGAAAGAGAATAAAACAATTAGGAATGAGCTTAACCATGGAAGTATAAGACTTGCATAATGAAAGCTACAAAACATTACTTAGTGGAAGGACATTCCATATTCATGGATTGGAAGACTTATTGTTAAAATAACATTACTACCCAAAGCAATTTACAGATTCAATGCAACCCCTATCAAAATCTGAAAGGCACCGGGCACGGTGGCTCAGCCTGTCATCCCAGCACTTTGGGAGGCTGAGGTGGGCAGATCACCTGAGGTTGGGAGTTCGAGATCAGCCTTGCCAACACAGTGAAACCCCACTTTTACTAAAAATACAAAAATTAGCCAGGTGCAGTGGCACACCCCTATAATTCCAGCTACTTGGGAGGCTGAGACAGGAGAGCAACAGAGTGAGACTCTGTCTCAAAAAACTAATAAAAATAAAAAATCCCAAAGACATTTTTTACAGAGAGAAAAATACATCCTAAATTTAATATGGAAGCTCAAGGGACTCTAAGTAGCCAAACAGTCTTGAAAAAGAATAAAGTTGGAGGACTCACACTTTCTGGTTTCAAAGCTTACTACAAAATTGTAGTCATCAAAATACTGTGATACTAACATAAGGGTAGACATATAGATCAATAAAATATAATCAAGAGCCAAAAATAAACCATGAGACATTTTTAACAAGGGTGCCAAGACCATTAAATGGGGAAAGGGCAGACTGTTCAGCAAATGGTGCTAGAAAAACTAGATATCCACATGCAAAAACAATGAGGTTGGACCTTTACCTATCAACACATACAAAAATTAACTGAAGGCCAGATACAGTGGCTCACGCCTGTAACCCCAACACTTTGGGAGGCCAAGGCGGGCAGATCGCTTGAGCCCAGGAGTTCAAGACCAGCCTGGGTGACGTGCCAAAACCCTGTTTCTACAAAAAACACAAAAAATTAGCCAGGTGTGGTGGCACGTGCCTGTAGTCCCAGCTACCTAGGAGACTGAGGTGGAGGATAACCCAAGCTTGGGATGTTGAGGCTGCAGTGAGCCTTGATGGCACCACTGCACTCCACCCTGGGTGACAAAGTGAGGCTCTGCCTCAAAAAAAAAAAAAAAATTAACTGAAGATGGATCAAAGAGCTACACATAAAAACTAAAACTATAAGTCTCCTAGAAGAAAACATAGGGGCAAATATTCATGACATCAGATTTGGAAATGGTTTCTAAGTTATGACACCAAAAGCACAAACAAAAGAAAACATATGAATTAGACTTTATCAAAATTAAAAGCTTTGTGCATTAAGGGACACTATTAAGAGAGTGCCAAGCTCACAGAGTGGTATAAAATATCTGTAAATCATATGTCTTATAATGTTTTCATATACAGAATATATAAAGAAGGCCTACAATTCATCAAAATACAAACAATTTTAACCTGATTCAAAATGGACAAAGGACTTTAATAAAAGATATACAAATGAACAACAAGCACACTAAAAGATGCTCAACATCATTACTCATTAGGAAAATGCAAATCTAAACCACAAAATACTACTTCACATACACTACGAGGACTATTATTTTCTTTTTAAAAAATAGAAAATAAGTGTTGGCTTATAAGAATGTGGAGAAATTGGAACCCTGTGCACTGCTGGTGGGAATGTGAAATGGTACAGCTGCTTTATAGCAGTTTTCCATAAACAGCTTGGCAGTTACTCAAAAAGTTAAACAGAAAATTACCATATGCTCTAGGAATTCTACTCCTAAGTACACACCAAAATAACCCCAGAAAACAGAGACTGTTAAAGTCCCCCATTATTATTGTGTAGGAGTCTAAGTCTCTTTGTAGGTCACTAAGGACTTGCTTTATGAATCTGGGTGCTCCTGTATTGGATGCATATATATTTAGGATAGTTAGCTCTTCTTGTTGAATTGATCCCTTTACCATTATGTAATGGCCTTGTCTCTTTTGATCTTTGTTGGTTTAAAGTCTGTTTTATCAGAGACTAGGATTGCAACCCCTGCCTTTTTTTGTTTTCCATTTGCTTGGTAGATCTTCCTCCATCCTTTTATTTTGAGCCTATGTGTGTCTCTGCACGTGAGATGGGTTTCCTGAATACAGCACACTGATGGGTCTTGACTCTTTAACCAATTTGCCAGTCTGTGTCCTTTAATTGGAGCTTTTAGTCCATTTACATTTAAAGTTAATATTGTTATGTGTGAATTTGATCCTGTAATGATGATGTTAGCTGGTTATTTTGCTCGTCAGTTGATGCAGTTTCTTCCTAGCCTCGATGGTCTTTACAATTTGGCACGATTTTGCAGTGGCTGGTACCGGTTGTTCCTTTCCACGTTTAGTGCTTCCTTCAAGGAGCTCTTTTAGGGCAGGCCTGGTGGTGACAAAATCTCTCAGCACTTGCTTGTCTGTAAAGGATTTTATTTCTCCTTCACTTATGAAGCTTAGTTTGGCTGGATATGAAATTCTGGGTTGAAAATTCTTTTCTTTAAGAATGTTGAATATTGGCCTCCACTCTCTTCTGGCTTGTAGAGTTTCTGCCGAGAGATCCGCTGTTAGTCTGATGGGCTTCCCTTTGTGGGTAACCCGACCTTTCTGGCTGCCCTTAACATTTTTTCCTTCATTTCAACTTTGGTGAATCTGACAATTATGTGTCTTGGAGTTGCTCTTCTCAAGGAGTATCTTTGTGGTGTTCTCTGTATTTCCTGAATCTGAATGTTGGCCTGCCTTGCTAGATTGGGGAAGTTCTCCTAGATAATATCCTGCAGAGTGTTTTCCAACTTGGTTCCATTCTCCCCGTCACTTTCAGGTACACCAATCAGACGTAGATTTGGTCTTTTCACATAGTCCCATATTTCTTGGAGGCTTTGTTCGTTTCTTTTTATTCTTTTTTCTCTAAACTTCCCTTCTCGCTTCATTTCATTCATTTCATCTTCCATCGCTGATACCCTTTCTTCCAGTTGATCGCATCGGCTCCTGAGGCTTCTGCATTCTTCACGTAGTTCTCGAGCCTTGGCTTTCAGCTCCATCAGCTCCTTTAAGCACTTCTCTGTATTGGTTATTCTAGTTATACATTCGTCTAAATTTTTTTCAAAGTTTTCAACTTCTTTGCCTTTGGTTTGAATTTCCTCCTGTAGCTCGGAGTAGTTTGATCGTCTGAAGCCTTCTTCTCTCAACTCGTCAAAGTCACTCTCCGTCCAGCTTTGTTCCGTTGCTGGTGAGGAGCTGCGTTCCTTTGGAGGAGGAGAGGCGCTCTGCTTTTTAGAGTTTCCAGTTTTTCTGCTCTGTTTTTTCCCCATCTTTGTGGTTTTATCTACTTTTGGTCTTTGATGATGGTGATGTACAGATCGGTTTTTGGTGTGGATGTCCTTTCTGTTTGTTAGTTTTCCTTCTAACAGACAGGACCCTCAGCTGCAGGTCTGTTCAAAAAGTGGGCGAAGGACATGAACAGACACTTCTCAAGAGAAGACATTTATGCAGCCAAAAAACACATGAAAAAATGCTCACCATCACTGGCCATCAGAGAAATGCAAATCAAAACCACAATGAGATACCATCTCACGCCAGTTAGAATGGCAATCATTAAAAAGTCAGGAAACAACAGGTGCTGGAGAGGATGTGGAGAAATAGGAACACTTTTACACTGTTGGTGGGACTGTAAACTAGTTCAACCCTTGTGGAAGTCAATGTGGTGATTCCTCAGGAATCTAGAACTAGAAATACCATTTGACCCAGCCATCCCATTACTGGGTATATACCCAAAGGACTATAAATCATGCTGCTATAAAGACACACGCACACGTATGTTTATTGCGGCACTATTCACAATAGCAAAGACTTGGAACCAACCCAAATGTCCAACAATGATAGACTGGATTAAGAAAATGTGGCACATATACACCATGGAATACTATGCAGCCATAAAAAATGATGAGTTCATGTCCTTTGTAGGGACATGGATGAAACTGGAAATCATCATTCTCAGTAAACTATCGCAAGAACAAAAAACCAAACACTGCATATTCTCACTCATAGGTGGGAACTGAACAATGAGAACACATGGACACAGGGAGGGGAACATCACACTCTGCGGACTGTTGTGGGGTGGGGGGAGGGGGGAGGGATAGCTTTAGGAGATATACCTAATGCTAAATGACGAGTTAGTGGGTGCAGCACACCAGCATGGCACATGTATACATATGTAACTAATCTGCACATTGTGCACATGTACCCTAAAACTTAAAGAATAATAATAAAATAAAATAAAAAAACAGAGACTGAAACAGATACTTGTACATCAATGTTCATAGATTATTCACAGTAGCCAAAAGGTGGAAACAATGTAAGTGTATATTAGTGGATAAACAAAATGGGGGATATATACATATATATAATATATATATATAGTCATCCAAAAAAATAATGAAGCTCTAGCACATGATATAGAACCGTGAAAACACTATGCTAAGTGAAACAAGCCAAACACAAAAGAACATGTATTGTATAATTCCACCTATATAAGGTACCTAGACTTGGGGGAGGGGAGAACAAAGAGTTATTGTCTCATGGGTGTTGACTTTTTGTTTGGTGTAATAAAAAAGTTCGGGAACTAGATAGTGGTGATGGCTACACACTGTGAATATACTTAATACCACCGAATTATACATTTAAAAATTGTTAAAATGGTCACTTTATGTTATATATATTTTAACACAATTCTTTAAAAAGCTATTGTGGTAAAAAGTAAAACCCAGGTACAAGGCATGAAATTTTATGGTCAACAAAATGCATGACAAATAAATTAATGATTCCATACTACAACAACTTTAAAAACCCAATAATGAGAAAACAACCTAATTTTAAAACAGAAAAAAAATTTTGAATGTTCACTTCCAAGACGGTAAAACAGCTGTCACATAAAAGGATTCTCAATATACAAATTAAAGCTACAGTGAGATACCACTACACACCTATAGACTGCTAAAATTAAAAAGACTGGCCATACCAAATGTTAGTAAAGATGTGGAAGAACTGGAATTCTTACACATCACTAGTGGAATGTAAAAATGATACTATCGTTTTGGAAGAAAGTTTGGCAGTTTCTAAAAAAGTTAAGTATATACCTACCACATAATTTAACCGTTCCATTCCTCGGTATTTTCTCAAGAGAAATGAAAAAAATATGACGATACCAAGATTGATTCATGGGTGTTCACAGCAGCTTTATTTGATTAGCAAAAAAATTGGTAATAATCCATATATCTATCAACAATGAATGGATAAACAAATTTTGGTATGTTCACACAATGGAATACTATTCTGTAAAAATAAAGAAAAGAACTATTGATACAGGTAACAGAGATAAATCACAAAATAATGAGACTAAATGAATAATGAGAAATGTAGTCAAAAAGAGTACATACAGTATGACCAATTTATATAAGATCTTAGAAGATGCAAAGTAATATACAGTGACAGAGAGCAGGTAAGTAGTTGTTTGGAGATGGGGGAAAAGGCAAGAGGAGAAATAGAGATGAAAGAGTAGGATTAAAAAGAGGCTTAAGAAACTTCTGGGAGTGATTACAGTGATGAATTCACAGATGAATACGTATGTCAAAATTTATCAATGTACACTTTAAATAGGTATAGATTATATCAATTATAAATTTTTTTAATGTCAAGGTGAATTGATATGGCTCACTTTTATATCCAACAGGTATAGTTGCCAATCGATAGAGAAGGAAACAGATAACAGATTGTTCAATTAGCCTGCCCCAGGTCACACAACTAGTAAGAAGAAAAAAACAGAATTCAAATCCAGGACTGTGCAGTAACCAAGCCCATTCTCTTTATACTTCTGAAAAAGGAGATGCATATAAATGGGTAGAGATCCATTCAACAAATATTTATTATATGACAAACACTCTTCTAAGAACCAGGGATATACCAGAGAACAAAAGATATAAAAACCCTTCCTTGCACCACGAAGAGCTTAAACATTCCGGGAATAGACAGGTCATAAACAAAGGCAAATAATATGTCAGATGGTCAAGTAAATGCTAAGAAAAGGTACTAAGGAATGGGTGGTTCAATTTTTGAAAGCAGAAATGTCTGAAGGAAGGTACTGTAGAACAATGCAAAACATATAGTCACTAATGAGAAAAAACAGATGAAAAGGGAGGAACAACTAAATGATTTGGTTGGTCTAAAAAAAAATAAACACAGTTAAGGAAGGGGAAGATACATTAGTAGACTGATTTCAACCTAACGAAAAAACTTAATTTAATGCAATGCCTGGGTATGTATCTGTGGTATATAAAGAGTAGTTAAGTCATTCCCTGTAACAGGTAAATGAAACAAGAAGACAACAAGACGTTGCAAAAACTTGCAAGAGATGTGTCTTACAGGAAACTAGTAGATTAGAGAATATGTTTTTAAATCTATTATACCTAAATCTAAATAACCCCCCCCCAAAAACTCAAGTGGAAGAATGTGACCCAAAACATTAGTACAGTAATCAGAGCACACAGTATCAATCTGCTGCTTATTTAGCTGGAAAACTGCTATTATGCAGTAGCAAAATTACAGAGAGTTGTTTGTGCCTGGACCTACAAAAAGTAAACAATGAAAAAAGCCTACCAACGGAGATATGAAATATGATGGTTTAAGACTATTGATACTAAGTCACAAACCTAGAAAATTAACACAAACAGGGCTCATTAGGTACAGTAGACATACTGAAAATAAGTAATAAAGTAAAGTGACATTTTATTTAAGGCAGAAAAAAATGTGAAATTTTCTATTGTGATTTGGGAATAGTACCTCACCATAAATGACACTGACAAAATGCTGGGTGTTAAAGGGTGAACTTAATCTGCACCTGTAACAGGAAAAAGGATAATGCCTCCAAATCACTTCCCTCTTTTTCCTTTATAACCTACCCTCATGCCACAAGCACAGAAATTTCCCTTACAATCTGATGAAAGCAGAGGTCATTCTTTAAAAAACATGCACATAAATTCATTGAAATCCACAAAACACAGACATTGATTTCTAAAATGACTGCGAGCATGCCAGCCCCTGAGGACCTCGTTGCCAGGCCAACCCTGGTTCTAGGTCAGCTCCCATGGACTCAGGCTCCGGGCCAGGCCCTACAAACCCAGGCCTCAAGCCTGCCCCATGAAACTGTGGGCCTGGGCTCCAAGCTGTTCTTTCAGGCTCCAATTGCCAGTTTGGTGCCTGGTAACTCCAGCACCAGGCTGACTTCCATGAACCTCAGGTGTACACCAGCACCCACATACCCAGGCTCCAAGACCACCTCAGAATACCAAGACATAGGATCAGCCTCTGTGAACCCAGGGGCCAGGCACACCCACCCGCTGACCAAAGCACCAGGCCATCCCACCCAACGACTATATCATCAAGCCTGCCTGCAGAACCCACCAGATGGCCTACCCATAATCTCCAGGCAGAATGACTGTAAAGGGCTTGCCCTGCCAAAACCAGCCTGTAAAGACTGAAAGAGGTGCCTATTTTTTCAAATGCACAGAAGACAAGAACCCAAGGCCAAGAGGATCACAAATAAGGAATTATGACACCACCAAGGAACAAAATAAATCACTAGTAACCGACCCTAAAGAGAGCTAGAAACTGCATTAACAATTCAAAATAACTGTCTTATATTAGTTCAGTGAGCTACAGGGGAACACAGACAACTGAATGAAATAAGGAAAATAATACATGAACTAAATAAAAAGTCCAACAAAGAGACTCCATGAAAAAGAACCAAACAAATTCTGCAACTGAAGAACACAATGAACTGAAGAATTCCATAGGGAGCACACTCAATCAGCAGAACAAAGAATCAGTGAGCTCAAAGGTCATTTGAAATTACCCAGTAAGAGGACAAAAAGGAGAAAGAAAAGAATGAAATGAACTGAAAAAAAGCCAAAGGAATTATGGGACACCATCAAGTAAACTAACATATTCATATATATGGGTGATATGATTTGAATCTGTGTTACCACCCAAATCTCACATCAAATTATATCCCCAATGTTGGAGGTGGGGCCTGGTGGGAGGTGATTGAATCATGAGGGTGGATCCTTCAAGAACAGTTTAGCACCATCTTCTTGGTGCTGTTGTCATGACAGAGTTCCCATGAGATCTGGTTGTTTAAAACTGTGTAGCACATTCCCTCCCCACCCCCTGTCTTGGTCCTGCTCCTGCCATTTAAGATGCCTGCTCCTGCTCATAGGCATGGGCAAGGGCTTCATGTCTAAAACACCAAAAGCAATGGCAACAAAAGCCAAAATTGACAAACGGGATCTAATTAAACTAAAGAGCTTCTGCACAGCAAAGAAACTACCATCAGAGTGAATAGGTAACCTACAGAATGGGAAAAAATTTTTGCAATCTACTCATCTGACAAATGGCTAATATCCAGAATCTACAAAGAACTCAAACAAATTTACAAGAAAAAAACAACCCCATCAAAAAGTGGGCGAAGGATACGAACAGACACTACTCAAAAGAAGACATTTATTGGCCAGGCACAGTGGCTCACACCTGTAATCCCAGCACTTTGGGAGGCCGAGGCGGGTGGATCACGAGGTCAGGAGATCGAGACCATCCTAACACGGTGAAACCCCGTCTCTACTAAAAATACAAAAAATTAGCCGGGCATGGTGGTGGGCACCTGTAGTCCCAGCTACTTGGGAGGCTGAGGCAGGAGAATGGCATGAACCTGGGAGGCGGAGCTTGCAGTGAGCCGAGATCACACCACTGCACTCCAGCCTGGGCGACAGAATGAGACTCTGTCTCAAAAAAAAAAAAAAAAAAGACATTTATGCAGCCAACAGACACATGAAAAAATGCTCATCATCAGTGGCTATCAGAGAAATGCAAATCAAAACCACAATGAGATACCATCTCACACCAGTTAGAATGGCAATCATTAAAAAGTCAGGAAACAACAGATGCTGGAGAGGATGTGGAGAAATAGGAACACTTTTACACTATTGGTGGGACTGTAAACTAGTTCAACCATTATGGAAGACAGTGCGGCGATTCCTCAAGGATCTAGAACTAGAAACACCATTTGACCCAGCCATCCCATTACTGGGTATATGCCCAAATGATTATAAATCATGCTGCTATAAAGACACATGCACACATATGTTTATTGTGGCACTATTCACAACAGCAAAGACTTGGAACCAACCCAAATGTCCATCAATGATAGACTGGATTAAGAAAATGTGGCACATATACACCATGGAATACTATGCTGCCATAAAAAAGGATGAGTTCATGTCCTTTGCAGGGACATGGATGAAGCTGGAAACCATCATTCTCAGCAAACTATCGCAAGACAAAAAAAACAAACACTGCATGTTCTCACTCACAGGTGGGAATTGAACAATGGGAACACTTGGACACAGGAAAGGGAACATCACACACCAGGGCCCATTGTGGGGTGGGGGCAGCGGGGAGGGATAGCATTAGGAGATATACCTAATGTAAATGACGAGTTAATGGGTGCAGCACACCAACATGGCACATGTATACATATGTAACAAACCTGCACGTTGTGTACACGTACCCTAGAACTTAAAGTATAATTAAAACAAAAAAGATGCCTGCTCCTGCTATGCCTTCCGCCATGAGTAAAAGCTCCCTGAGGCCCCCCCAGAAACAGAAGCCACTATGTTTCCTGTATAGCCGCAGAACCATGAGCCAATTAAACCTCTTATTTATGCATTACCCAGTCTCAGGTATTTCTTTATAGCAGTGCAAGAACAGGCTAATATAATAAGAGTTCATAAATGAACACAGAAAAAGGGCAGACACTTTATTAAAAGAAATAATGACAGAAAATTTCCCCTAATCTAGAGAAACAGGCTGGGTGCAGTGGCTCACCCCGCAATCCCAGCACTTTGGGAGGCCGAGGCAGGCAGATCACTTGAGGTCAGGAGTTCAAGACCAGCCTGGCCAACATGGTGAAACCCTGTCTCTATTAAAAATACAAAATTAGCAGGGCATGGTGGTGCACCTGTAATCCCAGCTACTTGGGAGGCTGAGGCAGGAGAATTGCTTGATACCAAGAGGCAGAGGTTACAGGGAGCTGAGATCATGCCATTTGCACTACAGCCTGGGTGACAGAGACTCCATCTCAAAAAATAAACAAATAAACAGAGAAATAAATATCCAGATCCATGAAGCCCTAACAACCTCATATAGAATAAACATAAAGAGATCTTCAGTGAGGCACATTATAATCAAGTTCTCAAAAGTCAAAGAACGTTGAAAGCAACATGAGAGCACTCATCACAAACAAGGCATCCTCCATAAGACTATCTGTAGATTTCTCAGCAGACACCTTGCAGACCAGGAGAAAATGGAATACTATAATCAAAGTTCCAAAAGAAAAAAAAACTGACAGCAAAGAGTATTATACTTGGCAAAGCTGTCTTTCTGAAACAAAGGAGAGATAAAGATGTTCTCATACAAAAGCTGAGGCAGTTCATCAACACTAGACCTATCTTACAAGAAATGCTAAAGGGAGTGCTTCAAAGTGAAATAAAAGGATGCTAACACACACATGAAAATATATTAAGTATAAAACTCACTGCAGGCTGGGCGCGGTGGCTGACGCCTGTAATCCCAACACTTTGGGAGGCCAAGGCAGGCAGATCACAAGGTCAGGAGATCGAGACCATCCTGGCTAACACAGTGAAACCCCGCCTCTACTAAAAATACAAAAAAATTAGCCAGACATGGTGGCGGGCACCTGTAGTCCCAGCTACTTGGGAGGCTGACACAGGAGAATGGCATGAACCCAGGAGGCGGAGCTTGCAGTGAGCCGAGATCACACCACTGCACTCCAGCCTGGGCGACAGAGTGAGACTCCATCTCAAAAAAAAAAAAAAAAAACTCACTGTAAAAGCAAGAATATAATAAAATTCAGAGTATTTGTGACATAAAATGTGGGGAGAGAAGTTACAGTTGTAGAGTTTGTTTGGTGTTATTTTTTTGAGACAGAGTCTTGCTCTGTTGCCCAGGCTGGAGTGCAATGGCACAATCATGGCTCACTACAGCCTTGAGCTCCTGGGCTCAAGTGATCCTCCCACCTCAGCCTCCCAAGTAACTGAGACTACAGGTGCATGCTACACTCACATCTGGCTAATTTTTATTTTTTTGGTACAGATGGGGTCTATGTTGCCCAGGCTGAACTCCTGGGATCAAGTGATCCTCCAACCTCAGCCTCCCAAAGTATTGGGATTACAGGCATGAGTCACTATGCCTGGCCTAAATTCATTTTTTAATTGACAAATAAAAACTACACATATTTGTTGTGTGTAACATGTTGCTTTGAAAGATAGGTAGGTAGATAGGTAGACAGAGAGACAGTGGAATGGCTAAATTGAGCTAATTAACATATGTATTATCTCACATACTTATCATTTTTCTATGGTGAAAACACTTAAAATCTACTCAGCAATTTTCAAGAACACTATACATTGTTATTAGTTACAGTCACAATGTTGTGTCAAGTTCTTTATATGCAGAGTTGAGTTGTTATCACCTATAAACAGCTGTTACAACTACAACATGTATTAAAGACTCAGCCAGCCACAAAGCAAAAGCTTATTGTAGATACATAAATGATAAACAGAAAGGAATCAAAGTATACCACTACAAATAATCATCAAATCACAAAGGAAGACAGAAAGAGGAGAAAAAAAAATAGAACAACAAAACAGTTAAAAAAAAATTAACAAAAGGTTAACAGTAAGTACCTATCAATGATGGCTTTAAATGCAAATAGATTAAATTCTCCAAAAAAGACACAGAGTGGCCAAATGGATTTTAAAAGCATGATCCAACTATATGTTGCCTATAGGAGACTCAACCTAGATTTAAGAACACACATAGCCTGGAAGTGGAGGGTGGGAAAAAGATATTCCATCCAAATGAAAACCAAAAGAGAGCAAGAGTAGCTATACTTGTATCAGACAAAATAGGCTTCGGTGAAAAATTTTATAAGAGACAAATATGGGCATTATATAATGATTAAGGGGTCAATTCATGAAGGGAATATAACAGTAGTAAATACATATGCATCTAACAGAGCATCTTAACACATAAAGCAAATATTAACAGATCTAAAGGGGAGAATAGACAGAAATACAATAATGGTAGAGAACTTTAATACACCACTTTCAACAATGGACAGACCATCCAGACCAAAAATCAGTAAGAGAACGGTGGACTTGAACAACATAATAAACCAAATGGACCTAAGAGACATACAAAACATCCCATCCAACAGCACTAGAATACATATGATTTTCAAATGCACAGAACATTCTCTAGGATATACCATATATTAACTACTCTAGGCCCATATACATTTTTCAATCAGCTTACCAAATTATATATTTTTAAAGCCTGGGCTAGGCATGGTGGCTTAAGCCTGTAATCTCAGCACTTTGGGAGGCCAAGGTGGGAGTATCACTTGAACTCAGGAGTTCAAGACCAGCCTCCCATCTTTAAATTAAATAAATTAATAAATAAATGCCTGGTAGGATATTGAGATTACAATATTGAGTCTTCTAACCCATGAACACATTATCTTTAAATTTATTTCAATCTTTAATATTTCAGCAAAGTTTTGTTATTTTCAAAACATTACTACATATCCTACATATTTCATTATATTTATCCTTAGGTATACAATATAATTTATACTACCATAAAGCATGCTACATAATTTTGCCAAATGTTCATTAGAGGAACATAGAAATACGTAATTCATTTTTTATGGCCAGGTACAGTGGTTCACACCTGTAATCCCAACACTTTGGGAGGCGGAGGTGGGAGGATGGCTTGAGGCCAAGGGTTTAAGACCATCCTGGGCAACACAGGAAGACACTGTCTCTACAAAAAATAAAATAAAAAATATCAGCCAGGCATGATGGTGTGCACCCGTAGTCCTAGGTACTCAGGGGGCTGAGGCAGGAGGATCTCTTGAGCCCAGGGGTTCAAGGTTACTGTGAGCTACGTATCACGCCACTGCACTGCAGACTGGGCAACACAGTGAGACCCTGACTTTTTTTTTTTTAAGTTCTGGGGTACATGTGCAGGATGTGCAGGTTTGTTACATAGGTAAACATGTGCTATGGTGGTTTGCTGCACCTATCAACCCATCACCTAGGTATTAAGTCCAGCATGCATTAGCTATTTTTCCTAATACTCTCCCTGCCCCAGCCCCACCACCCAACAGGCCCCAGTGTGTGTTGTTCCCCTCCCTGAGTCCATGTGTTCTCAGTGTTCAGCTCCCACTTATAAGTGAGAATATGTGGTGAATATATATGTGGTGTTTGGTTTTCTGTTTCTGCTTTAGTTTGCTGAGGATATGGCTTCCAGCTTCATCCATGAAAGAAATGCAGCACCCAAGCAGGGACTTGAACCCTGGACATTGTTTTTTTTTTTTTAAATACATTAACCTTGTTCTCAGACTTTGCCAAACTCCGTAACTAATATTAGGCATTTCATTATGGATTGTCTACAGTTTTCTAATAACATAATCATGATCGCCTGCAAATCTGAGTTTTACTTCTTTAATTCCAATATTTATGTTTGCTACTTCTTTTCTTGCTTTATTGGCATTAACTAAGATCCCAAAACAATGTCAAATAGAAGTTGTGAAGGCAGATATCATTGTTTTTTTCCCAAGCTTAGGAGAGAAACATTCTAGGTTTTATTATTAAAAATGATGTTAGCTGTGGGTTCTTCAGAGATGCCCTTATTAGACTGAGGAGGTTCTTTCCATTCTTGGATGATGGGACTCTTTTCATAATAAATGGTGGTAAGTTTTACCTAATGTTTTTTCTGCATATACTAAGATGACTGCATATTCTTCTCTTTTATTTTGTTAATGGTGAATTACACTGATTTATTTTTAAAAATACCTTTTTTAAAGAGCTGTTTTTGGATCACAGGAAAATTAAGAAAAAGGTATAGAGATTTCTCATATACCCTTTCCCCTACACATGTATAACTTCACCCACGATCAACATCCACCCACCAGAGTGGAACATTTGTTATAAATGATGAGCCTACGTTGACACATCACTATAATTACACAAAGTCCATAGTTTACATTAGGGCTCACTCAAGATTTTGTATATTCTATGGACTTGAACAAATGTACAGTGACTTGAATCTATCATTATACTATCACACCTGATTTACTCCTGAGTTGTTAAATTGACCTTGCCTTTCTCGGATAAACAACACTGGTTGTGGTGTATTATCCTTTTTATATAATGCTGAATTTAAATTGTTAATATTAAGGGGATTCTACATCTATGTTTAAAAGGAACTTTTTTTTTTTTTTTTGAGACAGAGTCTTGCTCAGTCACCCAGGCTGGAGTGCAGTGGTGGGATCTCGGCTCACTGCAAGCTCTGCCTCCTGGGTTCATGCCATTCTCCTGCCTCAGCCTCCCAAGTAGCTGGGACTATAGGCGCCCACCACCACGCCCAGCTAATTTTTTTTGTATTTTTAGCAGAGACGGGGTTTCACCACGTTAGCCAGGATGGTCTCGATCTCCTGGCCTCGTGATCCACCCACCTCGGCCTCCCAAAGTGCTGGGATTACAGGCATGAGCCACCACGCCCGGCCAAAAGGAATATTTTTTTAGAGATGGGATCTCGCTTTGTAACCCAGGCTGGCGTGCAGTGGTGTGATCCTAGCTCACTGCAGCCTCAAACTCTTGGGCTCAAGCAATTCTCCCACCTAAGCCTCCCAAGTAGCTAGGACTACAGGTGCACACCACAGCACCTGGCTAATTTTTTAATTTTTTGTAGAGACAATGTAGAGACACTATGTTGGCCAGGCTGGTCTCAAACTCTTGGCCTCAAGAGACCCTCCCACCTCGACCTCCCAAAGCGCTGCAATTACAGGCATGAGCCACCACACCTGGACAATTTTATTTTAATCTCCTTAGGCTTTGGATCAAGGTTATGCTGGCTTAATAAATGAGTTAGAAAATGTTTCGTCCTCTGTTGCTTTCTGAAAGTGTTTGTGCAGCCGGGCACAGCGGCTCACGCCTGTAATCCCAGCACTGTGGGAAGCCAAGATGGGTGTATCACTTGAGGTCAGCAGTTTGAGACCAGCCTGGCCAACATGGCAAAACCCCATCTCTACTAAAAATACAGAAAATTAACTGGGCATGGTGGCGGGCACCTGTAATCCCAACCACTTGGGAGGCTGAGGCAGGAGAATCGCTTGAACCTGAGAGGCAGAGGTTGCAGTGAGCTGAGATCACGCCACTGCACTCCAGCCTGGGTGACAGAGTGAGACTCTGTCTCAAAAAATAAATATATATTTTTAAAAGCGTTAGTGCAAAGTTAGTATTACTTCTTCCTTAAATGTGTCATAGAATTAATTCACAAGTGAAACCATCTGGAACTTGAGTTTTTTTGGTGGGAAAGTTCTTTTATCAGAAATTCGGCCAGCCTGGCCAACATACAAAAATACAAAAATTAGCTGGGTGTGATGGCAGGCACTTGTAATCCCAACTAGTCGGGAGGCTGAGGCAGGGGAATCACTTAAACCCAGGGGGCAGAGGTTACACTGTGCCACTGTGCTCCAGCCTGGGCCACTGAAGTGAGGCTCCATCTCAAAAAAAAAAAAAAAAAAAAAATGAAATTCAGAGCAGGCACAGTGACTCACACCTGTAATCCCAGCAATATGGGAGGCTGAGAGGATCACTTGAGGCCAGGAGTTCAAAATCAGCCTGGACAACATGGCGAGATCCCATCTATTAAAAAAAAATTAATTAGTCTGGTATGGTGGTGTGTCCTAGCTACTGGGGAGGCTGAAGTAGATCACTTGAGCCCAAGAGTTCAAGGTTACAGTGAGCTATGATCGAGCCACTGTACTCCTGCCCAGACAACAGAATGAGACCCTCTCTTAAAAAATAAATAAAATAGGGAGGGATAGCATTGGGAGATATACCTAATGCTAGATGACGAGTTAGTGGGTGCAGCGCACCAGCATGGCACATGTATACATATGTAACTAACCTGCACATTGTGCACATGTACCCTAAAACTTAAAGTATAATAATAAAATAAATAAATAAATAAAAATAAATAAATAAATAAATAAAATAAAAATAAAAATAAACAACTTTTTTTTTTTTTGGAGACAGGTCCTTGCTATTTTGCCTGCCCTGGAGTGCAGCGCCGCAATCACAGCTCACTGCAGCCTCAAGTTCCTGGGCTCAAGCGATCTCACCTTAAGCCTCCCGAGTAGCTGGGAATACAGGCACACCACATCACCACACCTGGCTAATTTTTGTATTTTTTTGTAGAGATGGGTTTTGCCATGTTGCGCAGGCTGGTCTTGAACTCCTGAGCTCAAGTGATCCACCTGCCTCGGCCTCCCAAAGTGCTGGGATTACAGGTATGAGCCACCGTGCCTGGCCAAAAAAAGAAAAACAGGCCAGGCACGGTGGCTCACACCTGTAATCCCAGCACTTTGGGAGGCCGAGGCGGGCAGATCACTAGAGGTCAGGAGTTTGAGACCAGCATGGCCAACATGGTGAAACCCCCATCTCCACTAAAAATATAAAAATTAGCCCAATGCGGTGGCAGGTACCTGTAATCCCAGCTACTCAGAAGGCTGAGGCAGGAGAATTGCTTGAACTCTGGAGGCAGAGGTTGCAGTGAGCCGAGATCGCACCACTGCACTCCAGCCTGGGCAACAGAGCAAGAATCCATTTCAAAAAAAAAAAATTCTATTTATTTAATATAGTATCACTCTGGTTTTCTGTTTCTTCCTGTGTCAACTTTGTTCAACTGAGCCATTCAAGCAATATTTAAAGTAAAATGGTTCATAATATTCCCTGATGTCTCCCCTACTTTCATTACAAACATGTCTTCCCTGTTTTTTAATTCATCAGTATTGCAAGAGATTTATCATTTTTATCAATACTTTCAAAAAACCACTTTAGGCTTTACTTATTTTCTCTAATCTGTCTATTTTCTCTTTAATTGATTTCAGCTCTTATCTTTATTTCTTTCCTTCTAACATTATTTGGGTTTAACATACCATTCTATTTCTAGTTTCTCTTGTGGGTAGCTTAGATTGTTTAAGTTTTTCTTTCCTTCTAACATAAGTATTTAAAACTATAAAATTTCTTCTCAGCATTGCTTTACTGCACCCACAAATTTTGGATGTTACGTATTCATTATCATTCAATTCAAAATATTTTCCTTTTTTTCCAGACTACCCTGCATGACAAAATATTTTCTAATTTCCTCTGTGATTTTTTATGGCCCTGGGTTACTTAGAAGTATTTCCAAATATTTGAAAGTTTCCTGATTATTTTACGGTTTTTATTTCATTTTAATTAAAGAACACATGCTGTATGATTTCAGTTCTCTAAAATTTATTAAGACATGTTTTTTGGCCCATCATATGATCTACGTCAGTAAGTATATAAGCAACTGAAAACTGTGTACTCTGTTGGGTATAATGATCTAAAATTTCAATTTTGTCAAGTTTTGGTTGATAGTGTGGTTTAAATCTACTAAAACCTTACTGAGATAATGTCTGTTTCTTCTATTGGTTACTAAAAAACGGATGTTAAAATCTCCAGCTATTATTATAGATGTGTCTATCTCTTTAGTTCTCAATTTTTGCTTCTTTAGCTTGTTTTGCTTATAGCTTGTTTTAAAGCTCTATTAACTGTGCATGCTCATTTAGGATTTTTATATCTTCAATAAATTGACCCTTTCATCCTTTTTTGTTTTGTTTTGTTTTGTTTGAGGAGCCTCACTCTATCACCCTGGCTGGAGTGCAGTGGCGCAATCATGGCTCACTGCAACCTCTGCCTCCCGGTTTCAAGCAATTCTCCTGCCTCAGCCTCCCGAGTATCTGGGATTATAGGCACGTGCCACCACACCCAGCTAATTTTTGTATTTTTAGTAGAGATGGGGTTTCACCATGTTGGCCAAGCTGGTCTCGAACTCCTGACCTCAGGTGATCTGCCCACCTCGGCCTCCCAAAGTGCTGGAATTACAGGCGTGAGCCACCACACCTGGCCAACCTTTTCACCATTATTAAATGTCTTTTTTCTCTAGTAATATTCCCTTTCTTGAAGTCTACTTTGTCTCATATTAATACAGACATAACAGATTTCTTATGCATAACATTTGCATGGCATATCTTTTTTCTGTCGTTTTAGTTATAACCTTTCTATGTCTTCATCTTTAAAGTACTTTTCCTCTAAACACCATAGGCTTGGGATCTTGCTTTCTTTAACCAGTTTGTGTTGGTCTCTTAAATGGTTATTCAATTTACATTTAATGATGTAATTATATGGTTTGGCCTAAGTCTACAATCTTGATATTTGTTTTCTATTGGTTCTAACAGTCCCATTTGTTCTTCTGTGCCTCCTCTGTTTTTTAGTGAGACATTATTCTCCTGGCTTCCCTTAGTTCTATGCCCATGGTTTCCTTTAGCTGTTTGTGTATATTTAAGACAGCTGACTTAAAACCTCTCTCTAGTAAGTTCAATGATCAAGCTTTCTCATGGAAAGGTTCTATTCTTTCTTTTTCCCCCTGTGAATAGGCTACACATTTTGTTTCTTTGCAAGTCTCACAATTTTTTTTGTTAAAATCCAGCCATTTTGAATATTATAATGTGGTAACTCTGGAAATCAGATTATTCTCCCTCCCCAGAGTTTGCTGTTGTTGTGGGTTATATTTGTTTAGTGAATTTTTAAAACTAGTTTTGTAAAGAGTAAATTCTTTGTGCTGTGATCACTTAAGTCTCTTTTCCATTGGCTTAGTAGTCATCTTGCAATTTGACAAATTTCCTTAAATGCCTAGAGTCAAAACAGAAAAAAAATAATAATAATACTCTCCTAGTCTTTGCAGACTGGCCTGACTTAGGGCTCTCCTTCAGTGCTTACCAAGGCCACTTATAACTCAGCCTTAGCCTTTACTTCCTGCTCACACAGAGCCGGAAGATCAGTCAAAAGTACAAGCTTAAGGTCTTCTCAGGTCTTTTTTCAGTATAGGTCTAGCCCTGGTATGTACATGGACTTCTGGATTCTCCAATATACACTTTACAAAGTCCTTATACCTCCTGTATCTCCTTCCCCAGTCTCTCCCTTCCTAGATTTTTCAGTCTCTCTGCTGCTTGCCCCAAATATTGTCCCTTCTTCTGAATGGCTGAAGGTAGTACAGTCAGCCTGCTGAATCCACAGAGTTCTGTATCCATGGATTCAACCAATTGTGAATCAAAAATATTCAGGAAAAAAATTGCATCTGTACTGAACATATACAGGCTTTTAAAAATCTTGTCATTATTCCCTAAACAATACAAAACTATGTACATAGCATTATACATTGTGTTAGGTATTATAAGTAGTAGAGAAAATATTTAAAGTATATGGGAGGATGTGCACAGGTTATATGCAAATACTATTCCATTTTATGTCATGCATTTAAGCAACATTGAATTTTTATATCCGCGACATTGTAACATAAAAGGGTGTACCCTGTAAGAATCACTTGGGAATTTTTGTTCTCTTTTCACAATTACTCCAAGAGATACCAAGGGATGACTGTATATGCCTTCAAATATTTTCAACAAATGCCACCCGGGAGGCTACTCCAACCCTGAGAAAGTTCTGAGGAGGGACAAAACAAAAGCAAGCCCCTAAACCAATCCCTCATAGCAGACAGGTCAAAATGTACAACCACAATTATTTGAGACAAAGTCCACATGGGCCTCCTCTGGCACCAGCAAACCATACCAGGAATATAGGTCACTATCCCCATTGCTGCCACCAAGAATGGGAGACGGTGAGTAGGTAAGCAAAAGTGCCACAATACCCTTGTATCAAAATTTATCAGCCTCTTTCTTCATTAAGCATTCACTTGGTGGTTATTTTTTATTGGATACCAGAGTTCCAAAAAGGTTCATTCTGACATTTTTGCCACTTTAATCACTGTATCAGTAGAGGAATGAATCACTGAAGCTCCTTACTCTTCCATTTTTGGTGACCTCAGGTCCCTCCTTTGTTTTTGGTTAATAGAAAACATTTCACAATTTCACTTGTCTCTTTTACTAACTGTTTAGGAACAGTGCTTGTGTTTTTAGTACTTTAGTGATTATAATACACATCCTTAATTTACCATAGTCCTTCTCTAAATAATATTTTACTATCTCAGAAACAACATGAGAACCTTATTTAGTATCTCTATTTACCCACCATTTGTGCTCTTATTGTCATATTTGTCCTTTATATATGTGATAAACGCCATAAGATGTTGTTATTATTCATTCTTCTTGTTGCTTTCATAAGATGCCTTTTATCTCTGGCTAACTTTAAGATTTTCTTTGAGTATAATTTACCTAGGTGATGCAGTTGAGTTTCCTTGAACATGTTGGATCTGTGAGGTGGTATCTTTCATCACGACTTGGAAATTCTTAGTCATTATTATTTTTTTTTTTTTTTGAGACAGAATCTCATCTGCTGCCCAGGTTGGAGTGCAGTGGCACTATCTCGGCTCACTGCAACCTCTGCCTCCCAGATTCAAGTGATTCTCCTGCCTCAGCCTCCCGAGTGGCTAGGATTACAAGTGTGTGCCACCATGCCCAGCTATTTCTTTTTATATATACTTTAAGTCTGGGGTACATGTGCACAACGTGCAGGTTTGCTACATAGGTATACATGTGTCATGTTGGTTTGCTACACCCATCAACTTGTCACTTACATTACGTATTTCTCCTAATGCTATCCCTCCCCCAGACCCCCATCCCCCGACAGGCCCCGGTGTGTGATGTTCCCCTCCCCGTGTCCATGTGTTATTGTTCCATTCCCACCTGAGTGAGAACATGCAGTGTTTGGTGGTCTCTTCCTGTGTTACTTTGCTGAGAATGATGGTTTCCAGTTTCATCCATGTCCCTGCAAAGGACATTAACTCATCCTTTTTTATGGCTGCATAGTATTGCATGGTGTATATGTGCTACATTTTCTTTATCCAGTCTATCATTGATGGGCATTTGGGTTGGTTCCAAGACTTTGCTATTGCGAAAAGTGCTGCAATAAACATACGTGTGCATGTGTCTTTATAGAATGATTTATAATCCTTTGGGTATATACCCAGTAATGGGACTGCTGGGTCAAATGGTATTTCTATTCTAGATCCCTGAGGAATTGCCACACAGTCTTCCACAGTGGCTTAACTAATTTACACTCCCATCAACAGTGTAAAAGCATTCCTATTTCTGCACATCCTCTCCAGCATCCATTGTTTCCTGACTTTTTAATGATCGCCATTCTAACTGGCATGAGATGGTATCTCATTGTGGTTTTGATTTGCATTTCTCTAATGACCAGTGATGATGAGGATTTTTTTCATAAGTTTGTTGGCTACATAAATGTCTTCTTTTGAGAAGTGTCTTTTCATATCCCTTGCCCATTTTTTGATGGGGTTGTTTTTTTCTTGTAAATCTGCTTAAGTTCTTTGTAGATTCTGGATATTAGCTCTTTGTCAGATGGATAGATTGCAAAAATATTCTCCAATTCTGTAGGTTTCCTGTTAACTCTGATGATAGTTTCTTTTGCTGTGAAGAAGCTCTTTAGTTTAATTAGATCCCATCTGTCTATTTGGGCTTTTGTTGCCATTGCTTTTGGTGTTTTAGTCATGAAGTCTTTGCTCATGTGTATGTCCTGAATGGCATTGCCTAGGTTTTCTTCTAGGGTTTTTATGGTTTTAGGTGTTACGTTTAAGTCCTTAATCCATCTTGAGTTAATTTTTGTAAAAGGTGTAAGGAAGGGATCCAGTTTCAGCTTTCTGCATATGGCTAGCCAGTTTTCCCAGCACCATTTATTAAATAGGGAATCCTTTCCCCATTGCTCGTTTTTGTCAAGTTTGTCAAAGATCAGATGGTTGTAGATGTGTGGTGTTATTTCTGAGGCCTCTGTTCTGTTCCAAAGTAGATACGAGGTTTCGCGATGTTGGCCAGGCTGTTCTCAAACTCCTGACCTCAAGTGATCCCCCCGCCTCAGCCTCCCAAAGTGCTGGGATTACAGGCATGAGCCACCACACCCACCCAGTCATTACTTTTTGAATTATTTCTTTTATTCCACTTTCCGTCTACTCTTCTTTCAGGACTCTAACTACCAATATGTTAGTTTCATTTTGTCCCACAGATCTCAGAAGGTCTCTTTAGCTTTACTGTCAACCAGCTTTCTTTTTACGGTTTGGTATGGGTAATCTCTATGGACCTGTGTATAGACTGCTTCATATTTTCCTGCTGCTATGTCCTGTCTGCAAGACCACCAAATGAATTCTTCTCTACTTTCTGGTTCTAAAAATTTTCACGTGGTTCTTTTCAGTTTTCATTTCCCTGATGAAATTCTCCATCTGAGGCCAGGCATGGTGGTCCACGTCTGTATTCCCTGAACTTTGGGGGCCAGGACAGGCAGATCACTTGAGCTCTGGAGTTTGAGACCAGCCTGCACAACATGGCAAAACCCTGTCTCTATAAAACAAGTACAAAAATTAGCTGGGTGTGGTGGCATGTGCCTGTAGTCCCAGCTACTTGGGAGGCTGAGTGGGGAGCATGCCTTGAGCCCAGGAGGAAGAGGCTGCAGTGAGCCGAGATCATGCCACTGCACTCCAGCCTGGGCAACACAGCCAGACCCTGTCTCAAGAGAAAAAAAAAAAAAAACAAGAAAAAGAAAGAAATTCCCCATCTGTTCATACATGTTGTCCACCTCCCCTACAGGCTTTAGTATATTTATTACAATACTAAAGTCCCCTATTTGCTAATTCCAACACCTGGGCCATCTGTAAGGCTACTTCTATTGACTATTTTGTCTTTTAATTATGAATCGCTTTATCCTCCTTCATGGCATGTCTCATAGCTTTTTACTGTATGACAGACAGTACTGTGTAAAAGAACAGTAGAGGCTAAAGGAAATAATACTTCTAACACGTACTTAAGATGAGCCCAGCTTTCTTTCAGCTTAAATTTTGATTTATTTCACCAGTGCTTCAAATGTTTTAGATGCTAGATCAGAACTTTTTCTTCACCAGGGTTAGGAATCTGGGCACTGGTAAAATTCTTAATATCTACCACTTTCCAGTCCAGATAAATCATAACCTCTCTCTGCTTCACAAAGCACAGAACTTGATCTTTCTCTTTGTCTCTCTCTCTCTGATTTACACAGCCAGCTGCCAGCCTTGTATGCCCCAGGCTTTCTGTACTTCAGGAAATCACCCTTTACCCTGCTGCCCTGCTCTCAGTTTTCTGCAGGATGCTGCTATGCACTTGATAATGTCCTCACATGCCTCAGGAGGATCTCTCTCAGCTTTCCTACCCTGTCCTCAGTCTCTGGCACAACACAGCCATGCACTTAAGTAAAAACCCCATGAATCTTAAGCGTTGCCCCACAGTCTCCCTGACCTGTCCTCTTTCTTTTGGCATATTTCCACCCCCCATTCAGTGAAGACCCAGTAGAAAATAATTGCCAGGTGGATGTAAACTCACTCTGTGACTAGGGGCTCTGGGGACTCTGATCAATTAAAAGTTCATCAAAAGTTCAGTTGAAAGAATTACAAAACACTGCTGAAAGAAATCAAAGATGACACATACAAATGAAAAAAACATTCCCATGCTCATGAAGAAACCAATATTGTTAAAATGGCCATACTGCCCAAAGCAATCTACAGATTCAATGCTAGTCCTATCAAACTACCAATGACATTTTTCAAAGAATTAGAAAAAGTTATTCTAAAATTCATATGAAACCAAAAAGAACTAAATAGCCAAAACAATCCTAAGCAAAGAACAAAGCTGGGAGCATCACATTACCTGACTTCAAACCTTCAAACTATACTACAAGGCTATAGAAACCAAAAGAGCATGATACTGGTACAAAAACAAACACATGGGCAAATTGAACAGAATAGACAGCCCAAAAATAAAGCTGCACATTTACAACCATCTGAAATTTGACAAAGCTGACAAAAACAAGCAATGGGGAAAGAACTCCCTATTCAATAAATGGTGCTGGGATAACTGGGTAGCCATATGCAGATGACTGAAACTAGACCCTTCCTTACATCATATACAAAAATCAACTTAAGATGGATTAAAGAGTTAAATGTAAAACCTCAAACTATAAAAATCTTAGAAGAAAACCTAGGAAATGCCATTCTGGACATAGGCTCTGGCAAAGATTTCATGACAAAAATGCAACTGCAACAAAACAAAAACTGACAAATGGGACCTAATTAAACTAAACAGCTTCTGCACAGAAAAAGAAACTATCAACAGAATAAACAACCTACAGAATGAGAGAAAATATCTGCAAACTATGCATCCAACAAAGGTCTAATATCCAGAATCTTAAGGAACTTAAACAAATTAACAAGCAAAAAACAAACAAAAAAAAACACATTAAAAGGCAAAAAACATGAACACTTTTCAAAAGAAAACACACACTCAGCCAACAAGCATATGAAAAAAAAAGCTCAATATCACTGATCACTAGAGAAGTGTAAATCAAAACCACAATGAGACACCATCTAACACCAGTCAGAAAGACTATTATTTAAAAGTCAAAAAATAATAGACACTGGCAAGGTTACAGAGAAAAGGGAACGCTTATACACTGCTGGTGGAAATGTAAATTGGTTCAGCCATTGTGGAAGAAGTTTGGCAATTTCTCAAAGAACTTAAAACAGAACTACCATTCAACCCAGCAATCCCATTACTGGGTATATATTCAACCAGCAATCACATTACTGGGTATATATCCAATCAGCAATCCCATTACTGGGTATATATCCAAAGGAATATAAATCATTCTGCCATAAAGACATATGCATGTGTATGTTCTTCGCAGCACTATTCACAATAGCAAAAACATAGAATCAATCTAAAAGCCCATCAATGCCAGACTGGATAAAGAAAATGTGTTACATATACACCATGGAATACTACACAGCCATAAAAAAGAATGAGATCATGTCCTTCACAGTAACATGGATGGAGCTGGAGGCCATTTTCCCAAGTGAACTAACACAGAAAAATAAAAACTAAATACTGCATGTTCTCACTTATGAGTGGGAGCTAAACACTGAGTATACATGAACACAGAGAAGGGAACAATAGACTCTAGGGCCTATGTGAGGGTGGGTGGTGGGAGGAGGGTGAAAATAGAAAACAACCTATTGCATACTATGTTTACTACCTGGGTGACGAAATAATCATACGACAAACCTCCATAACACGCAATTTACCTATATAAAAAATGTGCACATGTACCTCTGGACCTAAAATAAAAATTTTTAAAAAAAAAGATTCCAGGTAACACCTTTCTATGTTAAACTTTGACAAACACTATTCTAGAGCATTATTAAAAGAGTAGGTTTTAAATGTTTTCACCACAAAGCAGAACACAGAATTAGTGAACTTGAAGACAGATCAATAGAAAATATCTGAACTGTCTTTGTAGACAACGACACTACCCAGAACCCCGACATCACTGTGGACGGTACGCCCTTGGGCTGCATCTCCTTCAAGCTGTTAGCAGACAAAGTTTCAAAAACAGCAGAAAACTTCATGCTCTGAGCACTGGAAAGAATGCATTTGGTTATAAGTGTTCCTGCTTTCACAGAATTATTCCAGAGTTTATGTGTCAGGGTAGTGACTTCACACACCATAATGGCACTGGTGGCAAGTCCATCTATAGGGAGAAATTTGATGATAAGAACTTCACTCTGAAGCATACAAGTCCCGGCATCTTGTCCATGTCAAATGCTGGACCCAACACAAATGGTTCCCAGTTTTTCATCTGCACTGCCAAGACCTCAGTGGTTGGATGGCAAGCATGTGGTCTTTGGCAAGGTGAATAATAGCATTAATATTATGCAGGCCATGGAGTGCTCTAGATCCAGAAACGGCAAGACCAGTGAGAAGATCACCATTGCCGACTGTGGACAATTCTAATAAATTTGACTTGTGCTTTATCTTAACCATCAGACCATTCCTTCCGTAGCTCAGGAGAGCACCCCTCCACTCCATTTGCTCGCAGCATCCTATAATCACTGTGCTCTTGCTGCAGGTCTTTGGGTTCCATATTTTCCTCATTCTCTTCCATGCCTAGTTGGATTGCAGAGTTAAGTTTATGAGTATGAAATAAAAACTAACAAAAAAAAAAAAGAAAATATCTAAACTGAAACAGAGAGGAAAAAACAAGTAAGAGTATAATAGACATGTAAAACTTGATCAAAAGATCTAAAAAACTTACTACTAGAGTCCTAAAAAAAAAGAGAATACAAGAAAAACAATATTCACAAAGATAATGACTGATATTTTCCCCAAACTGATTAAAAACATCAACCCACAGCCGGGTGCAGTGGCTCACGCCTGTAATCCCAGCACTTTGGGAGGCTGAGGTGGGCGGATCACGAGGTCAGGAGATTGAGACCATCCTGGCTAACACAGTGAAACCCCGTCACTACTAAAAAATACAAAAAATTAGCCGGGCATGGTGGCAGGCGCCTGTAGTCCCAGCTACTCAGGAGGCTGAGGCAGGAGAATGGCTTGAACCCAGGAGGTGGAGCACAAGTGAGCCGAGATCGTGCCACTGCACTCTGGCCTGGGTGACAGAGCAAGATTCTGTCTTAAAAAAAAAAAAAAAAAAAAAAAAAAAAAAATCAACCCACAAACTTGAAGGGAGATTACAGAAAAAAATTACAGCTAGAGCGGATGGCAAAAGGAATCTAATATATGCATAATTGAAATTCCTAAACAAACTCAAAACAAGAGAAGATTAATTCAGAAATATAATTACAGAGATATAATTCAGAAAGGTTTTCTTGTGGGAGGATGAAAAATACTTTAACAAATATTTTGTGCCAAGAAACACTGACACAGAATGCTCAACACAAGACATAACCTAGAAAATTTATTAGACTTTAAAACTTAAAAAGAAAAATGAAAGGGGTTTAAAGTCATACTAGCCTCAGATTTCTCCACTGCAATATCTAACACTGAAAGACACTAGAGAAACATTTTAAAGACACTGAAGGAAAGAAAATATAAGCAAAAGATGTTCCATGCAACCAAGATGTCCTTAGAGAATAAAGTATAAAAGCTACAAACAGTGCTGAACACCCAAAAACTCAGGGAATATCTTGCTCATGATCTCTTATTGAGGAAACAGGATAGTTTTGAGGAAATTTCACAAAAAAGAGCTGACAATGAGCACTGAATAAATTTGATAGCTGAACTAAGAATAAAACAAATATGGAGATTAGAGTGACAGGATATAAAGGTTATATGCCCTGATAATGCAGAATGACACACACAAGAAAAAACTGAAAAGGAAAGAAGGTGAGAGGCAGATTAAAGGTACCGATGGCCTCATCTGTAACCACTGGAATTGAAATTATATCATTTAGATATTCTGATATACTTGATATATATTGTGAATGCTTAATATAACACAAACCAAGTAAGAAGTATAAGATTATTTAATAATGCAAAAGTAAACACAAACACGGCCAGGTGCAGTGGCTCATGCATGTAATCCCAGCACTTTGGGAGGCTGAAGTGGGCGGATCACTTGAAGCCAGGAGTTCGAGACCAGCCTGGCCAACATAGTGAAACTCCATCTCTACTGAAAATACCAAAAAATTAGCCGGGCATGGTGGCGCATGCCTGTAATCCCAGCTACTCGGGAGGCTGAGGAAGGAGGATCACTTGAACCAGGGAGGTGGAGGTTGCAGTGCGCTGAGATTGCGCCACTGCACTCCAGCTTGAGGAACAGAGTGAGACTCCGTCTCAATTTAAAAAAAGGAAACATAAAGACACTTTGTTATTAGTATCAGGTGCGGACAGAAAGGGAAAAAATAAACACTATTCTGTAGGTGATTTCACATACTCAAAAAACCCAAGATAATCAACTAGAAAAAAAGCTACAATAAGAGTAAGGTATATATACACACATACATATATACACACATACATAAATATATGGAATCAACAGAAATACAATCATTGAAAAGATCCCACTTACAACAACTACAAAAAGGTAACTACCTAAGAACAAACTAAGAAATGGGCAAGATCTATATAAAAAAAGAAAAACAAAAAAACTTTAAACCACCACTGAAAGACAAGTGCGTACACTCAGAGATTCTACATGTCCAACATCTGTAACTTTATCTTACAGGTATATTTGCACAAGTGTAAATGAGGATCGGCAAGTATATACAAGGTCACTCACTGAAGCACTGTTTCTATTAGCAAAAAATGTACATAATGCAAATATCCATTAATAGAGAACTGGTTAAATTATGGCATATCCATGTACTAGAACATTATTCAGATTTTTAAAATAAGGACTCTCCCTATGGACTATATTAAAAGATCTCCAAGAAGTATTAACTAGAGGGAGAAATTCGCTGAACAGTGAATATAGCATGCTACTTTTAGTATCAAAAGAAAAACAAAATGTAAGAATATGCATTAATATTTGCTAGTATTGTGAATGCACAGAGAAACTCCAGAAAAATATATAAGGAACAACCGTGGAAAAAGTAGAGAACTGAATGGGCAAGGGAAGCATCACAGTGGTGAATACCCTATCATGGGATTTTTAAGCCTCTATTAGTTATGCAAATATATAAATAAGATCCAAATTTAAAAAAAGTCAGAATTAGAAACTAAAACAGTTTAACAGGAATAAATATTAAAATTCCTAATTTAGGTTCCAAAGATCAACTACAAATAAAAAAATCTTAAAAGTAATTCATGTCAAAAGCTTGATAAGCTTTGGCAAATAAACATAAACATAACCAAAACATAAACCGAAAATTACTACACCAAAAAAAAAATAAATATATATATATAATTTTTTTTAATTTTATTATTATTATACTTTTAAGTTTTTTTTTGAGACGGAGTCTCGCTCTGTCGCCCAGGCTGGAGTGCAGTGGCGTGATCTCCGCTCACTGCAAGCTCCACCTCCTGGGTTCACGCCATTCTGCTGCCTCAGCCTCCCAAGTAACTGGGACTACAGGTGCCTGCCACCACACCCAGCTGATTTTTTGTATTTTTTAGTAGAGATGGGGTTTCACCATGTTAGCCAGGATGGTCTCGATCTCCTGACTTCGTGATCCGCCCACCTCAGCCTCCCAAAGTGCTGGGATTACAGGTGTGAGCCACCACGCCTGGCCAACTACACCCAAAAATATTAATGCCATTGTCAATTTCATTAACAAAGCAGAGAGCAAGGAACACAGGTAGTAAAAGCACTATTCTACAGGATTCATCTGGTATGCTGTACTCATTTTGAAAGAGGCATTGATAAGAGTATATCAAAACTGTACCAAAAATGACCTAAGTTCTCTGTGGGATATAGAGAAGTATAATACACAAAATCTGATTTCAAAGAATAATGATCTTGCTTAGGATATAATTATAAACACCTAGTGTATCAGGATAAATAAGATACTAGCCTTCACTCACTTAAGATGAATCACAGCTGACGGAAAGAAGACTGTTGTATTAAATAATACATTTTTAGAAAAAAACCTAAGACATAACAAAAGTTTAATAAATGTTAAAATATCCTCCTTAACATGAATGGCTCCTAATGCCAACCAGAAGACAATTACCTTTAAGGCCCTCCATGATCTTGTCTCTTCTTCATCATCTCATCATCTAGTCCCATCTCTCAAAAATCCCTCAAATTCACACTCTACCTGGTTGGAACTATGGGCAGTCAGCTGCCTAATGGCCTGTGCTTTTTCATATCTTTGTGCCTTTGCAAATGGTGTTCTGTCCTCCCAAAATGCCCTTCCCCTCATCACCCTCATTCTCACTCCAATATCCTGAAAATACCTACTCATTTTTTTTTCTTGTTTTTTCTGAGGCAGCGTCTTGCTCTGTTGCCCAGGCTGCAGTGCAGTGGCATGATCATGGCTCACTGCAGCCTCAACCTCCAAGGCTCAAGTGATCCTCCCACCTCAGCCTCCAGAGTAGCTGTTACTACAGATACGCACCACCACACCTAGCTAATTTTTGTATTTTCTGTTGACATAGGGTCCTACTATGTTGCCCAGGCTGGCCTCAAACTCCTGGGCTCAAGTGATCCACCCACCTCAGTCTCCCAAAGTACCGGGATTACAGGCATGAGCCGCCACCACGCCTGGCCTACCTACTCATTTTTCAAGCCCCAACTCATGCATTTCCTTGTCTCTGAGACATTTCCTGATCCACCCGAGCAAAGTTAATTATGATAGTCATTTCTCAACATTCAGTACATATGCACTGAGCATTTTCCATGTGTCTAGCAAGATGCCAGGTCTGGAGATACAGTAGTGAACCAGACAGACCCAGATGCTGTCCTTTCAAAGCTCACAGTGCTGTGGAGAAGAAAAACAAGTAATCCTTATAAAATATGTTGAGTGCAATTGCTAAAGCACATAAAAGGTTCAGTGGGTGCATGTGGCAGAAAAATTAAACCTGGTCTAGGGGTCAAGGAAGGCCTCCTTGAACAAACAACCTGAAAACTAAAGAATGAATAGGAGTAAGGCAAAAATGGGTGAAAAGGAGTAAAAGTGTTAGAAGAGCATGTGCAAAGAGCCAAAAGGCAAGAGAAAGAATAACTCTTAGGAACTAAAAGATACTTGATTGGTTGGATAATACAGCTGGAAAGAGGGAGACTTAGAGAGGTAGTTAGAAGCTGGGTGCAGTGGCTCACCCCTGTAATCTCAGCACATTAGGAGGCTGAGGCAGAAGGACTGCTGGAGACCAGCCTGGGCAACATAGTGAGACTCCATCTCTACAAAAAAATTTAAAAATTAGCCAGATGTGCTGGCATGCATCTACAGTCCCTTGAGCCCAGGAGGTCGAGGCTGCAGTGAGCCATGATCACACCACAGCACTCCAGCCTCGGGTAACAGAACAAGATCCTATCCAAAAATAAATAAATAAATAAAAGAAGTAGTCAGAGACATAAATCAGGACCAGATCTGCAAGAACAGCAGGTTACAGAGAATATGCCACATTTTAAACTCAAAAAGTTCAATATGGCAGATTAGTAGCTTGGTGATTGGGACAAAGCTGGTGAAGTAAGCAGGAACCAGAAGTCCAAGTTGCTTTTAAGTCATTTTAAGAAATGTGGACTTTATCCTAAATGATGCAATAAAAAGGTTTTAAGAAAGGGAGTGCCAAGACATGGTTTGTTTTTATTAAAATCACTTGGGAAGTTACAGTGCAGAAAAGGGAGAAAGAATAGCAAAATTGAAAGCAGGAAGATTCTGCCCAGCATGGTGGTGTATGCTTGTAGTTCCACTTAGGAGGCTGGGGCAGGAGGAATCACATAACCCCAGGAGTTTGAGGCTGCAGTGTGTGATGACTGCTCCTGTAAACTGCCTCTGCACTCCATCCTGGGCAATATTGTAAGAGCTCATCTGAAATTAAAAAATAAATAAATAAAAATAAAAATAAAAAACCTGATCCAGCAGTCCAAAAAGAGATAATGGTATAATGGTGGCCTGCTACCCTTACCTCAAGAGATATTTAGAAGCATTAATACTTGGTGACTAACTGAATATGGACTTGCAAAATTGTAACTTTACCTGACTAACATCATTTATTGAGCCAAAAATACTAAAACAAGAACAGACTGGAGATGACTAAAGATCATGATCTCCATCTAGACATGTAGTTGACGTCCCTGGGAGACATCCAAATGGCGAAATCTAGTAAGTATGTGATATCTGCATCCAGAGCTCAGAATCTAAAACAAACAAACAAAAAATATATATATATATATAATTTATCAGACTATAGACAGTAACTTTTCTTGTGCCACCACCATACCTAAGACATATCAAAATTACTGTACTTGAAACACTGAATGTGATTGTGAATTCTTGAACAAGAGGAGCTCAGCCCATGCCTAACACAAAATAAATTCTCAACAAGTTTTTAATGAATTGAATGTAAATTTCTTTCTGCATAAACTCTAAATAAGCTCCATAGTTCTAGTCTCTTCTTCCCATTATCCATACTACAGATTAACCTCACTAAAACAAAATGTTTATTTCCTAAAACTTCAGTAGTTTCCCAGTGCATATAAAAGCAAATCCTTAACCTTAACTCTTTACAAGATCCTTTCAATTTATCTTCACCCTGGGGCACACATACCCCTGGAGAAAAATAAAGTCCTACTAAAAGATAAAGAACCACAAATGGTTTTAAGCTAACCCATTTCCAGATCCTTTGTCTCCTTTATAGGACTTCCTCAAATAAATCTGCCTGAGAACACACTTAAAGTTGAGGCACCATACTGGTTCCTCCTTTCTCATCTCCCTTTGTACAGTAATGTCTCTTCACCCATCTTCAAACTAACAAAGGTGCACTCCCCTGATGCTCCATCCAGGACATCAAAGGGATCATTCCAAGAACTGGGAAAGAACCAGAGACCTACATATATTTCTTATTAAGGGCAAAACATTGTCTGTTTTAGGCCTAAGAGACAATTACAAAACATTCCACCCAACAACAGCAGCATAGTTATCAAGTGCTCATGAAACACTTGATAGAGCCTGTTATGCCATAAACAAGCTTCAATAAATGTAAAAGGGCTGAAATTACACAAACTATAATCGATCTCCTGTAACAGTAGGAAAATTAGGGAATATACAAATATGTGGAAATTAAACAACACACTCCTAATTAACCAGTGAGTCAAAGAGGAAATCACAAAGAAAAACAGAAAAGACTTTGAGATGAATAAAAATGAGACTACCACCTGTCAAATCTTACAAGAGGCGGCCGGACATGGTGGTTCATGCCTGTAATCCCAGCACTTTGGGAGGCTGAGGCAGTCAGATCAGTTGAGGTCAGGAGTTTGAGACCAGCCTGGCCAATATGGCAAAACCCCGACTCTACTAAAGATACAAAAATTAGCCAGGCGTGGTGGAAGGTGCCTATAGTTCCAGCTACTCAGGAGGCTGAGGCAGGAGAATTGCTTGAACCTGGGAGACAGAGGTTGCAGTGAGCCGAGATCATGCCACTGCACTACAGCCTGGGCAACAGAGCGAGACTCCGTCTCAAAAAATAAAAATAAAAAGTCTTACAAGAGGTGGCTAAAGAACTGCTTAGGAGAACATTTATTGCTATAAATATCTCTAATAAAAAAGATGAAAAATTTCAAATAACTTAAACATTCACCATAAGAAACTGGAAAAAAGAATAGAAAATTAACTCTAAGGCAAGCAGAGGAAAAAATGACAATGATTAAGGTAAAGGAAATAAATGGAAAATAGAGAAAATTGGCAAAACTGAAAGTTGGTTTTTTGAAAAGATCCATAAATGTGACAGGCCTTTAGTTGGATTGACCAAGATTTTTTTTAAAAGACTTAAATTACTAAAATCAAGAATAAGACATGGAACATCACCAACTACCTTATAAAAGTAAGAAATGATTATAAAAGAACATTATGGACAACTGTACACCAAATCAGATAATTTACGTGAAATGGACAAATTCCTAGAAAGAGACGAATTACTGAAGAAATAGAAAATCTGAATATGCCTGTAACAAGTAAAAAGATCAAATTAGTACTTTTAAAACTTCCTACAAAAAAAAGCACAGCCCAGAAAAGCACAGCCCAGATGGCTTCTCTGGAGAAATCTACCAAACATTCAAATAATTAATATCAATCCTTCATAAACTCTTCCAAAACGAAAGGAAAGAACATTTCCCAACTAATTATATGGGGCCAGTATTACCCTAATATCAGAACAAGACAAAGACATCAAACAAAAACTACAAAGTAATATTTTTTATTAATACAAACACAAGAATCTTCAACAAAATATTACCAGCAATATTAAAAAGGACTGGGCCGGGCGCGGTGGTTCACGCCTGTAATCCCAGCACTTTGGGAGGCTAAGGAGGGTGGATCACGAGGTCAGGAGATCGAGACCATCCTGGCTAACATGGTGAAACCCTGTCTCTACTAAAAAATACAAAAAATTAGCCAGGCGTGGTGGCGGGCACCTGTAGTCCCAGCTACTCGGGAGGCTGAGGCAGGAGAATGATGTGAACCCAGGAGGCAAAGCTTGCAGTGAGCTGAGATCACACCACTGCACTCCAGTCTGGGCAACAGAGCAAAACTCTGTCTCAAAAAAAAAAAAAAAGGACTAAGCAACATTACAAGTAGGATTTTTATTCCAGGAAATGCAAGGTCAGTTCAACATATGAAAATCAATTAATGTACTATGTAATACTAATAAAGGACAAAAACCATAGTAATCACAATATATGTATGCAAGAAAAAAGCCAGTGGCCTTTTTTATTTCAATAGTTTTTGGGAAACAGGTGGTTCTTGATTATATGGTAAGTTCTTTACTGGAGATTTCTAAGATTTTGGTATACCTATCACCTGACCAGTGTATGCGGTGCCCAATGTGAAGTCTTTTATCCCTCTTCTTATGTCTTTACATCCTCATGGCTTAGCTCCCACTTACAAGTGAGAACGTATGATATTTGGTTTTCCATTCCTCTGTTACTTCACTTAGAATAATAGTCTCCAACTCCATCCAGGTTGCTGCAAATGCCATTATTTTGTTCCTTTTTATGGCTGAGTAGTAGTCCATGCTGTCCATATCACAGTTTCTTTATACACTCATTGGTTAATGGGCATTTAGGCTGGTTCCTTATTTTTGCAATTGCAAATTGTGCTGCTATAGCACACATAAACATGGATCTGCAAGTATCTTTTTCATATAATGACTTACTTCCTTTGGGTGGTGAGACTGCTCAATTAAATGGTATTTCTACTTTTAGTTATTTAAGGAATCTCCATTCTGTTTTCCATAGTGGTTGTACTAGTTTACATTCCCACCACCAATGTAAAAGTGTTCCCTTTTTACTACATCCACGTCAACATCTTTTTATTATTATTTTTTAATTATGGCCATTCTTGCAGGAGTAAGGTGGTATCTCATTGTAGTTTTGATTTGCATTTCCCTGATAGTGATGTTGAGCATTTCTCCATATGTTTGTTGGCCATTTGTATATCGTCTTTTGAGAACTGTTTATTCATGTCCTTTACCCACTTTTTGATGGGATTATTTGTTTTTATTCTTGCTGATTTGAGTTCCTCGTAGATTCTGGATATTAGTCCTTTGTTGAATGCATAGTTTGCAAAGATTTTCTCCTATTCTCTGGGTTGTCTGTTTACTCTGCTGATTATTTCTTTTGCTGTACAAAAGCTTTTTAGTTTAATTAGGTCCCATCTATTTATTTTTATTTTTGTTGCATTTGCTTTTGGGCTCTTGGTCAAGAACTCTGCCTAAGCCAATGTTTAGAAGAGTTTTTCTGATATTACCTCATAGAAATTTTTGGTTTCAGGTCTTTATTTTTTAAGAGATGGGAGTCTTGCTATGTTGCCCACGCTGGCCACAAACTCCTGGGCTCCAGTGATCCTCCCACCTTAGCCTCTCATCTATCTAGAACTATGGCAAACATCAGCATGCCCAGCTTCCAGCATCCTTTTGCAATAAAAACACTGAACAAACTAAAATAGAATTGAACTTCCTTGACCTGATAAAGCCCACCTGTTTATTTATTTTTGAGATGGAGTCTCACTCTTGTCACCCAGACTGGAGTGCAATGGCGTGATCTCAGCTCACTGAAACCTCCACCTCGCGGGTTCAAGTGATTCTCCTGCCTCAGCCTCCCAAGTAGCTGGGATTACAGGCACCCACCACAACACCCAGCTAGTTTTTGTATTTTTAGTAGAGATGAGGTTTCACCATATTGGCCAGTCTGGTCTTGAACTCCCGACCTTACGTGATAGGCCCACCTCGGCCTCCCAAAGTGCTGGGATTACAAGCATGAGCCACCATGCCCAGCCCCACCTGTTTAAAAAAAAAAATCATGGCTAATACTATAATTAATGGTGAAGGACTGAACGCTTTCCCCTTAAGATCAGGAACAAGACAAAAATGTTCACCACTGTCAGCTCTATTTAACATTATAGTGGAGGAAAAGCCATTTGGTAAGAAAAAGAAATAAAAAGGCAGCCAGATTGGAAAGAAAGAAGTAAAAGTATCTCTAGTAGCTGATGGTATAAGCTTCTATACAGAAATTTCTAAGGAATCCACTAAAAAAAAACTATTAGAATTAATAAACGAGTTCAGTAATGTTGCAGGACACATGATCAATATACAAAGTCAAGTGTATTTCTATAAATTAGCAGGGAACAATCCAACAATAAAGTGAAGAAAACAATTCCTATTATAAATAGAATTGAACTAACAAATGTCTAACGAGTGACATCTCTTGACTATTTTCAGGATTAGAAGTCTTAGCACTTTTGTCCACTGCATCTTGGTATCACAGTTGCCAAGGAAAACACAACAAAGTTGAGCACTGGATGGAAGAATGCTTTACTCGAATAAAACGAAAACAGAACAGAGAGATGATGGTGGGCTTCAAGATGGCTGACCAAAGGCGACTAAGGCTCACTTCCTTCACAAAGAAGGACCAAAACACTAAGTAGATAACCACACATCAAACAGAGCTTCTAAGAAAGAACACTGAAATTCAGCACAGAAGTGACAAGAAAGCTCTGAGGCATAAAAGGAGAGGAAAACAAGGCAGCCAGCCAGGTTTGGCTCAGTGCCAGGAGGCACTCCTCATTGTGAAAAAAAGGTAAATGAGAGATCCCCAAGTGATAGACGTTCCCACTGCAGACTCCCACAATCCTAGCCATGGGAAAGCCCCTAGGCCCTTGTGGACCCTGAGACTATTAGAGGGAGATCTCAGGAGCCCACACAATGGCATTATTGCAGAGAAGGCATTACTGCCGGGTCCTACATACCCACTGGAGGCACAAGCAGCCACAGCATAGTGCCATTTTGAAATCACAGCCCCCTCTAGACTACATCCTCCACTAGGGCCCTACAACCACATCCCTAAAGCCCCAGTGACATCTTCCCATGTCCACCTGAAGCATCAAGACACACCAGCTGGACCCAGCAGTGCAACCAGGTCCCCTGCACTATAGCCAATGCATCACCCTATATCCTGAGAAAAGGTCAGCATAGCACACCAGGGAGGCTGCCCCAAAGACAAAAAGAACAGAAGCATGCACTCCCCACAGCCTGAGAGCCACCTACACAAGGCCACTGCCACTGACAGCAACCTCAACCCCTCCAGCAGCAGGATTCCCAAGGGCCTTTAGGGTGCCTGGAGACCAGTCTGCCTGGATGCCATCCCAGGAACTGAAAATAGGCCCACATAGCCCACCACCACCTGCATGCACCATTAGCAGGGCCAGAGGACTGCCCACACTACCCACCACCATCACTGTCAGCATCTGCACATGCTATCCAAGTGTGTGTGGATCGGCCACTCTGCCCACCACTAGCAACTCACATGTGGGTTGTCCAAAGGCATAAAAAGGGGGCCACCCCATCTAGCTGAAAACACCTATGTGCACCTCATGGGGGCCTAGGGATCAACATGCCAAGACTGCACCACCACCACAACACACATACCCCACCTGGGGGCCAGGAGACTGTCTTGCCCAGCCCAACACCACCACCACTGGCATCCATGCACACCAATCGGGGCCCAAAAGTGGCACACCACTGCCACTGCCACCACCAACATCATGCACACCACCCAGGGGCATATGGCAATGCCCACTCAGCCCACCACTGTAATCACTAGCATCTGAGCATGACACCAGAAGGCCCAAGAACTGACCCAGCTCAGACCCACAACTACAGATACAGACCCACCACCACTGTGCCCAAGGACCAGCCCATCTGACATCCCCATCCCCACCAAAGACTCACCGCAGTTTCCACTAACAACCACAGCCTAAGCCACTAAGAAATTCACAGACAACACTGACACTCATTACAGCCAAAGAAATCATACAGGGATGTATTAGGCTATTCTTGCATTCCTATGAAGAAATACCAAGGACTGGGTAATTTTTTTTTTTTTTTTAGACAGAGTCTCACTCTGTTGCCCAGGCTGGAGTGCAGTGGCACAATCCTGGCTCACTTCAACCTCCACTTTCTGGGTCCAAGTGATTCTCATGCCTCAGCCTCCCAGGTAGCTCATATTACAGGCATGCCCTACCACATCTGGCTAATTTTTTGTATTTTTAGTAGAGACGGGGTTTTACCGTGTTGGCCAGGCTGGTGGCATGAGCCACCATGCCTGGCCAAGACTGGGTAATTTTGAAAAGAAGTTTCAAACTGGCTCACAGTTCCACAGGTAGTACAGGAAGCATGGCAACATCTGCTTCTGGTGAGGCCTCAGGGAGCTTTTACTCACGGCAGAAGGCAAAGCCAGAGCAGGCATCTTCACATGGCCAAAGCAGGAAGAAGAGACAGAGGGAAGAGATGCACACTACACATTTTTAAACAACCAGATCTCACAACAACTCACTCACTCACTATCATAAAAACAGCACTGAGGGGATGGTGCTAAGCCATTCATAAAGGACCACCCCCATGATCCAATCACTTCCTATCAGGCCCTACCTCCAATACTGGGAATTACAATTCAACATGAGATTTGCTGGGGACACAGAAAAAATTCAGAACTTGTCTCTTTTCAAATAACCAAGTCAGATCAAAAAAAAAAGAATATAAAAGAATAGATAAAGCCTATGAGACACACAAGACACCATCATAAAGCAAATAAATAATTGAATTTTGAGAGTTCCAGAGAAGAGATGGGCAAAAGTATAGAAAACTTGCCTAACAAGATAATAACTGAAAACTTTCCAAGTCTTGCGAAAGACAAACACATCCAGACACAGGAAACTTAAAGGTCTCCATATAGATTCAATCCCATAAGGTTTTCTCCAAGGCACATTTTACCCAAACAGTAAAAAGTCAAAGACAAAGAGAGTTCTAAAAACAGCAAGAAAAAAGCATCGAATAACATATAAGGGAAACTTCATCAGACTGATAGCATCTTCCTCAGCAAAAACCTCACAGGCCTGGAGAGAATAGAATGATATATTCAAAGTACTGAAAGAAAAAACCTGCTAGGCAACAATACTATATTCAGCAAAGCTATCCTTCAAAATAGAAATAAAAGTCTTTCCCAGACAAGCAAAAACTGAGACAATTCATTAACGACTATACTGGCCCTAAAGAAATGCATAAGGGAGTCCCACATCTGTATTAGTCCTTTTTCACACTGCTATAAAGAACTTCCCTGAGATCGGGTAGTTTATAAAGGAAAGGGTTTAATTGACTCACAATTCCATATGGATGGGGAGGCCTCAGGAAACACAATCATGGCAGAAGGCAAAGGAGAAGCAGGCGCCTTCTTCATAAGGTGGCAGGAGGGAGAAGTGAGCGTACAGGAGAAAACTGCCACTTTTTTTTTTTTTGAGACAGAGTCTCACTCTGTCGCTCAGGTTGGAGTGCAGTGGTACGATCTTGGCTTACTGCAACCTCTGCCTCCCAGGTTCAAGCAAGTCTCATGCCTCAGCCTCCTGAGTAGCTCGGATTACAAGTGTGCACTAACACACCCAGCTAATGTTTGTATTTTTTAGTGAAGATGAGGTGTCACCATGTTGGCCAGGCTGGTCTTAAACTCCTGGCCTCAAGTGATCCACCTGCCTCAGCCTGCTAAAGTGCTGGGATTACAGGTGTGAGCCACCATGCCCAGCCAGAAAACTGCCACTTTCAAAACCATCAGATCTCGACTGGGCAGGGTAGCTCATGCCTGTAATCCCAGCATTTTGGGAGGCTGAGGTAGGCAGATCAAGAGGTCAGGAGATCAACACCAGCCTGGCCAGCATGGTGAAACCCCATCTCTACTAAAAATACAAAAAATTAGCTGGGCCTGGTGGTGCGTGCCTGTAGTCTCAGCTACTTGGGAGGCTGAGGCAGGAGAACTGCTTGAACCCAGCAGGCGGAGGTTGCAGTGAGCCAAGATCACGCCACTGCACTCCAGCCTGGGCAACAGAGTGAGACTCTGTCTCAAAAAATAAAAATAAAAATGAAAAAAACCAGCAGATCTCATAAGAATTCACTCACTATCAAGGGAACAGCACAGGGGGAACTGCCCCAGGATCCAATCACCTCCCTCCCTCAACACATGGGGATTACAGGTCCCTCCCTCAACACGTGGGGATTACAGTTCAAGATGAGATTTGGGTGGGGACACAGAGCTAAACCATATCAACATCTCAAAGCAAAAGGTGATACATACCATCATGAAAACACATGAAAGTATGAAACTCACTGGTAGAACAGTGAGAACAGTAGTACACAAAAAAGAAAAAGAGTCAAACGTTACCACTACAGAAAACCATCAAATTGTAAAGGCCAACAATAGGAGAAGAAGAAAGGAACAAGGAATAGATTAAAAAAAAAAAAAAAATCAGAAAACAAGTAGCAAGTAGCAAATGGAGAGGAATAAGTCCTCAACTATCAGTGACAACCTTGAATGTAAACAGTTTAAATTCTCCAATTAAAAGATATAGAGGCCGGGCGTGGTGACTCACATCTGTAATCCCAGCGCTTTGGGAGGCCAAGGCAGATGGATCGCTTGATGTCAGGAGTTCGAGACCAGCCTGGCCAACATGACAAAACCCTGTCTCTACTAAAAATACAAAAAAAATTAGCTGAGCGTCATGGCACATGCCTGTAATCCCACTTACTCAGGAGGCTGAAGCAGGAGAATAGCCTGAACCCAGGAAGGGGAGGTTTCAGTGATCCGAGATTGAGCCACTGCACTCCAGCCTGGGTGACAGAGTGAGACTCCGTCTCAAAAAAAAAAAAAAAAAATGCTGCCTACAAGAAATGCACTTCACCTATAAAGACGCACATAGACTGAAAGTGAAGAGATGGAAAAAACATGTTTCCACGCATACTGGAGTAATTATAGTAACAAAGTCATTATATGGTTACTTTATACTTATATAATGAGACTATAACAACCATAAATAAAATGCATCCAACACTGGAATACCCAGAAAAACATAAAGCAAATAATAGAACTAAAAAGAGAGATACCAATACAATAATAGCTGGGGAATTTAACACCCACTTTTAGCACTGGACAGACCACCTAGAGAGAAAATAAACAAAGAAACATCAGACTTAACCTGCACTATAGAACAAATGGACCTAACAGATATTTACAGAATATTTTATCCAACTGCTGCAGAATACACATTCTTCACATCAGCACATAAAAGTTTTCCCAGGATAGACCATACGTTAGGCCATAAAGCCTCAACATATTCTTAAAAATCAAAATGATATCAAGTATCTTCTCAGACCACAATAAAACAAATCAGAAATTAGTAACTAGAGGAATTTTGGAAACTGTACAAATAAATGAAAATTAAACAACATGTTCCTGAATGATCACTGGGTCAATAAAGAAATTAGGAAGAAAATCAAAAACTTCCCTGAGACAAATGAAAATGGAAAAATAAAATACCTAAATCTATGGGATATGGAAAAAGCAAAGCTAAGGAAAAAGTTTATAGAAATAAACACCTATATTAAAAAAGTAGAAGTTAACCTACCAATGTACCTCCAAGGAACTAGAAAAGAATAAAAAAATTACAGATGAAAAAAACAATAAATATCAGAGCAGGACTAAATGCAAGAGACCAAAATATACAAAGAATCAACAAATGAAAACTTGTTTTCTTAAAAAGATAAACAAAATCAATAAACAGTTAACTACAGTAACCGAGAAAACCCAAATAAGTTCATAAACAGAAGACATCACAACTGATACCACAGATACATAAAAGAATCATTAGACTCTTATGAACAACTATATGCTAACAAATTGGAAACCCTAACGAAAATATCTAAATTCTTGGACACATAAAACCCACCAAGACTGAACCAAGAAAAAAACAAAACCTGAACAGACCAATAGTAAGTAATGACATTGAATCAATAATAAAAAGTCTCCCAAAAAGAAAAAGGACCAATGGCTTTACTGCTAAATTCTACCAAACTTATGAAGAGGAACTAACACCAGTTCTTCTCAAACTATTCCAAAAACTGAATTCTTCCCAATTCATTCAACAGGGCAAGCAATACTCTGATACTAAAACCATACAAAGACACAAGAAAAAAAAGAGAAAACTACAGGCCAACATCCTTGATAAACATAGATGCAAAAATCCTCAACAAAATACTTGCAAACCAAATATAATAACACATCAAAAAGATAACACACCATGATCAAGTGGGATCTATAACAGGGATTGCAAGGATTGTTCAACATATGCAAGTCAATAAATGTGATATATCACATCGACAAAATGAAGAATAAAAAGCATATGATCAAATCAATGGATGCAGAAAAAAACACTCAATAAAATTCGGCATCCTTCATGATAGAAACTCTCAACAAATCAGGCATAGAAGGAATAAAACTCAACATAATAAAAGCCACCTATGACAAACCCACAGCTGACACCATACGGAATGGGGAAAAGTTGAAAGCTTTTCCTTAAAATCTGGACCAAGACAAGGATGCCCACTTTCACTACTCTTATTCAACACAGTACTGGAGATCCTAGCTAGAGCAATCAGGCAAGAGAAATAAAAGGCATTCAAACTGAGAAAAAGGAAGTCAAACTGTCCCTCATCTGAAAACAGTATGATCTTATACACAGAAAAAGCTGGAAACTACAGGAAAAAAAAAAAAGTCTTAGAACAGATAAATGCATTTGGCAAAGTTACAGGATACAAAACGAACATACAACAATCAGACTGGGCACAGTGGCTCACATCTGTAATCCCAGCCATTTGGGAGGACAAGACAGGCAGATAGCTTGAGGTCAGGAGATCGAGACCAGCCTGACCAACATGGTGAAACCCCATCTCTACTAAAAATACCAAAAAAAAATTAGCTGGGTGTGGTGATGTACACCTATAATCCAAGCTACTCGGGAGGCTGAGGCAGGAGAATCGCTTGAACTCAGCAGGCGGAGGTTGCAGTGTGCCGAGATTGCGCCACTGCACTCCAGCCTGGGTGACAGAGCAAGACTCTATCTAAAAAAAAAGAAAAAATCAGTAGCATTTCTATATGCCACTAATGAACCAGCTAAAACACATACAGAAAAATAAAACACCTAGGAATAAATTTAATCAAAGAGATGAAAGACCTCTACGACAAAAATGACAAAACACTGAAGGGAGATTTGAAGAGGACACAAAGAAACGGAAAGAAATCCCATGCTCATGGATCCAAAGAACTAACAGTGTTAAAATGACCATACTACCCAAAGAAATCTACAGATTCAATGCAATCCTCATTAAAGTACCAATTATATTCTTCACAGAAATAGAATAAACAATCTAAAATTTGTATGGAACCACAAAAGACTGTGAATAGCCAAAGTAATCTTGTACAAAAAGAACAAAGCTAGAGGCATCACAATATCGGACTTCAAAATATACTACAAAGCTACAGTAACCAAAGCAACATGGTACTGGCATTAAAAACAGACACATAAACCACTGGAACAGAACAGAGAAAACCAGAAATAAATCCACCTATTTACAGCCAACTGATTTTCAACAAAGGTGCCAAAAATATACACTGGGGATAGGACACTTTCTTCCATAAATGGTGCTGAGAAAACTGGGTATCAATATGTAGAAGAATGAAACTAGACACCTGTCTCTCACCATACGCAAAAATCAACTCAAAATGGATTAAGGAGGTAAACATAAGACCCAAAACTACAAAACTACTAAAAGAAAACATTGGTCTACACAAAGATTTTATGACTAAGACCTCAAAAGCACAGGCAACAAAAACAAAAATAGACAAATGGGGCTACATTAAATTAAAAGCTTCTGCACAGCAAAGAAAACAATAAACAGAGTAAAGAGACAACACACAGAATGGGAGAAAATATTTGCAAACTATTTATCTGATAAGTGACTAACATACAGAATATACAAGGAACTCAACAGCAAAACCAAATAATCCCATTAAAAAGTAGGCAGCAAGCTGGGCAACAGCAAGCTCATGCCTGTAATCCCATCACTTTGGGAGGCCAAGGCGGGAAGATCACTTGAGGCCACAGGTTCAAGACCAACCTGAGCAACAGAGCAAGACCCAGTCTCTACAAAAAATTTAAAAATTAGCTGGGTGTGGTGGCGTGGACCTGTTGTCCTAGCTACTCAAGAGAATGGCTTGAGCCCAGGAATTCGAGGCTGCAGTGAGCCATGATCCTGCCACGGCACTCCAGCCTGGGTGACAAAGTGAGAACCTGTCTTAAAAAAAAAAAAAAAAAAAAACAAGGGCCACAAAGGATCTGTATAGACATTCTCCAAAGAAAACATACAAATGGCCAGTTGGCGTATGAAAAAATGCTCAACATCACTAACCATCAGGGAAATGCAAATCAAAACCACTAGCTATTATCTCACCCCAGTTAGAATGGCTATTATCAAAAAGACAAAAAATAACAAATGCTGGCAAAGATGCAGAGAAAAGGGAACTCTTATACACAGTTGGTAGGAATCTAAATTAGTATGGCCATTATGGAAAACAGTATAGAGACTACTATACTATACTATATAGAACTAAAAACAGAACTTCCATATGGTCTAGCAATCTCACTACCGAGTATCTATCCAAAAGAAAGGAAATCAGTATATATCAAAGGGATGCTGGCACTCTCATGTTTATCACAGCACTATTCACAATAGCCAAGATACGGAATCAACCTAAGTGTCTGCCAATGGATATGGATAAAGATAATGTGGTATGTACACACAATAGAATACTATTCAACCATAAAAAAATAATGAAATCCTGCCATTTGCAGCAACACAATTGGAACTAGAGGTCATTATGTGAAGTGAACTAAGTCAGGAACAGAAGACAAATATTACATGTTCTCACCCATATGTGGGAGCTTTTAAAAAAAAATGGATCTCATGGATGTAGAGAGTAGAATGATGGTTACCAAAGGCTGGAAAAGGTAGGGAGGAACAAAGGGGCAGTTGGTCAATGGGTACAAACATATAGCTAGACGGAAGAAATAAGTTCTAGCACTGGACAGTTGGACAGCATAGTAGTAATATACAACTTATTGTATATTTCAGAAAAGCTAGAAGATAATATTTGCTTTGTCTTTTTTGACACAGAGTTTCACTCTTTTCGCCCAGGCTGGAGTGCAATGGTGCGATCTCCGCTCATTGCAACCTCCACCTCCTGGGTTCAAGTGATTCTCCTGCCTCAGCCTCCCAAGTAGCTGGGATTAGAGGCACGCACCACTACATCTGGCTGATTTCATATTTTTAGTAGAGACGGGGGTTTCACCATGTTGGCCAGACTGGTCTCGAACTCATGACCTCAGGTGATCTTGCCTGCCTCAGCCTCCTGCTGGGATTACGGGTGTGAGCCACCACTCCCTTCCAGAAAAGGATATTTGAAATGTTTCCAGCACAAAGAAATGATCAATGTTTGGAGTGATGAATATCTTACATATCCTAATTTGCTCAGTAAACATTGTATGCATGTATCAAAATATCACATGTATTCCAAAAATATGTACGATTATTATGTATCAATAAAAAAGAAAAAGAAAAAATAGAGCAAGATCAGCTTCAGTAGTAGACTTTTGTCTCCCATGGCTAGTGGATCCTTCCTGATAGCTGACACAGGTCAACAGGCTTGACTGCAAGCCTCTTGCGCTGCAGTAAAAGAACCTTGTCCCCTCTCTGCAGAAGACAGATATAGTAACAAAGCTGACCAGTTGCCATATGGTGCATACACTTAAGCAGAACAAAGGAATACACACAGAGTCTTAAAAAGGGAGATATTCCCATACCAGCTACTCAGGAGGCTGAGGCAAGAGAACTGCCTGAACCCAGGAGGCAGAGGTTGCAGCAAGCAGAGATCGTGCCACTGCACTCCAGCCTGGGCAACAGAGCAAGAATCCATCTCAAAAAAAAAAAAAAAAATGCCCAACAACATTCTTTGCAGAAATAGAAAAAATCCATCTGAAAATACACATGGAATCCAAATAGCCAAAATAATATTGAAAAATAAGCACAAAGTTGGAAGGCTCAACTTCCTGATTTTAAATCTTATGACAAAGCTACAGTATCAAAGCAGCATGATACATGTATAATGACAGACAAATAGACCAGTGAAACAGAATAGAAAACCCATAAATAAATCCCCACATATATGGTCAAATGATTTTTGACAAGCGTGCCAAGATTTCATTTGATGGGAAAAGGACAGCCTCTTCAACAAATGGTGCTGAAAAAACAATATCCACATACAAAAGAATGAAGTTGGACCCTTCTCTACTATCACATAGAAAAATTAACTCGAAATGGATAAAAGACCTAAAATGGATTTAGCCCTGATTTCCTTGATACGCCAACGGCACTGACAACAAAAGAAAAATTCACAAATTGGACTTCATCAAAGCAAACTACCAACGAAGTGAAAAAGCAACCTATAAGATGGGAAAAAAATCTGTAAATCACTTATCTGATAAAGGATTGATATCTAGAATATATAGAGAACCCCTAACACTCAACAACAAAAGAACAGACCCAATTCAAAAATGGGCAAAGGAACTGAACAGTGAAGAGATACAAATGGCCAATAAGCACACAAAAAGAGACTCAACATCATCAGCCATCAGGGAAATGCAAATTAAAACCACAATGAGATGCCACTTCTTAAAAGACAGAAAACAATTAGTATGGGTGAGGATATGAAGAAACTGGAACCCTTGTGCACAGCTAGTGGGCACATATGAAAAAGAGTGCAGCCTCTACTGAAAAAGGTATAACAGTTCTTCAAACAATTAAAAAATTACCATATGATCCAGCAATTCCACACCTGGGTATATAGCAAAAAAAAAAAAAAAAAAAAAAAAACCAAAAACATACATCCACAGAGAAACTTGTACATGAATGTCCATAGCATAATTATTCATAACGATGAAAAATGAAAAAGTAGAAACAATCCAACTATCCATTCTGGTAAATGGACAAATATAGTATATCCATATAATAGAATATTATTCAGCCATAAAAAGGAATGACGTATTGATATATGCTAAAACATGGATAAGCCTTAAAAACATACTCAGTGAAAGCAGCCAAACACAAAAGGTCACATAATACATGATTCCATTTATATGAAATGCCTAGAATAGGCAAATCCTTAGAGACAAAAAGCCAATTAGGGGGTGCCCGGGTGGGGGAGAGAGAATGAGTAGTGACTGCTAATGGGTATAGGATTTCTTTTGGGGGTAATGAAACTGTTCTGGAATTAGATACTGGTGATGGAGGCACAACTCTACAAATATACTAAAAATAATGGGATAGTACACTTTAAAGACTTAACTATATGGTATGTGAATTATACCTCGACACCCCTGCTATTTTTAAAAGATAAAAAAAGAAAAATAGTAAGCAAAAGATGATAAACATCATGGAAGAAAACTTACTATGAGAATAAATTTTATATAACTGATTTTTACCTCAAAAAAATTAAAATAGCACAGACTTTAGGACCTAAGACCAAATATAATCAATTATCACAACAAAGCAGCAGACAAAAACAGGTGTCTCTCCAGTCACAGGAAACCATCACAGAAGAAATTTAAAAGCATTAGAATAATTTGAGAATTATAATCATAATGATGAGCTGAGTCACACTGAATAAACAAAAACCCATGAGTCCATAACAATAATAAAAGAAGAAATGGCAAAACAAGACACAAAAGCAATCTTCTAGAGGCTAAGGTTGTGCCCGGCTCATTTTTGGGGTTGGTTTGTTGGTTGGTTGGTTTGTTTTTGAGACGGAGTTTTGCTCTTATTGCCCAGGCTGGAGTGCAGTGGCACGATCTCGGCTCACTGCAACCTCCGCCTCCTGGGCTTAGGTGATTCTCCTGCCTCAGCCTCCCAAGTAGCTGGGATTACAGGCACCCGCCACCACACCCAGCTAATTTTTTGTATTTTTAGTAAAGACGGGGTTTCACCATTTTGGCCAGGCTGGCCTCGAACTCCTGACTTCAGGTGATCCACCCACCTCGGCCTCCCAAAATGCTGGGATTACAGGCATGAGTCACCATGCCCAGACTTGCATTTTCCTTTAAACTCTTCATTTCAATTAAGTAAACGACAGAAATAAATTCTGAAACTAGCATTCAGTGCTATGGGCAGGCACAGTGGCTCACGCCTATAATTCCAGCACTTTGGGAGGCTGAGGCGGGTGGATCACTTGAGGTCAGGAATTTGAGACCAGCCTGGCCAACATGGTGACACCCTGTCTCTACTAAAAATACAAAAATTAGCCAGGCATGGTGGTGCACATCTGTAATCCCAGCTACTCGGGAGGCTGAAGGGGGAGGATTGCTTTAACCCAGGAGGTGGAGGTTACAGTGAGCCTACATAGCGCCACTGCATGCCAGCCTGAGCAACAGAGTTAGTGAGACTCTCTCTTAAAAAAAAAAAAAAAAATTCAGTGCTATGTGTCAGAAAATCAGGAGCTTTAAAGGTAGGCTTTAAAAAGTATACACACAATGTAGAGAAAAAAGACAAGTTGAAATGTTTAAAGTAGAGATTCTTAACCTGAGTCCAAAGACAAGCAACAAGAAGTCCATAAACATTCTGACACGACTAGTAAAATTTTACTTGTGCATATGCGGGTTTCCCATAGCACTTAACAGATCTTCAAAATGGAATTGACACCTACCCCACCCCACCCCCAAAAAAGTATCACTAAATTAAAGGGAAGATGGTAGCTGCAAATAACATGGTCCTCCCAAAACACCTTGCACAAATCTTTCATGCCTTACTGTCCCCTGTGACCTGAATTTGCTCTCATGCTTCTTCTTCACTCACAAAATCCTATTCACTCATCAACACTCAGTTCTACTTTCACTCTTAGGGATATTGCCTTGCACGCCCCCAGGCTCTGAACTCCTACAGCACATCCTACTTCTATCCATTGTACATGTTTGACATTTACAATACCTTTGTGAACTCGATGTGCATCAGGTAGTCTTATCTCCTTACTGTTCTGTGTCCAGCATCCTTAACTCTCACCTTTTACAAAAACTCCCCCACTCTAGTGATTTCAGTGGGGCTGTCAATCGGACCCCTTCAATAACTGGGCATATGAAGTAGATTGGGCCATACCATTCATTCCCTGAAGTTTTTCTGACTGGAAACAGCTCTTTCCTATTCCATCATGCTGTGTAAACATGTACCCAGAACTGTAGGAGCTATGGTCCCCAATTATAAAAGGAGTAAATTTTTAAAAGTTAATGACTGCAAGAAAGAATGCAACACATAGACACAGAGATATCAAATGGAGACACAGAGGTCTTGATGCCTTAAGGACCTGATTCTGTTCAAACCGTGTTCAAGTAAGACAAACCCCAGGCTATAACCAATCTGGCTATTTCTGTACCTCACTTCATTTTCTGTACATCACTTTCCTTTTTCTGTCCATAAATCCTCCTCTACCACATGGCTGTGCTGGAGTCACTGAGCCTACTCTGGCTCAGAAGGCTGCCCAATTTGTGAATCATTCTTTGCTCAATTACAGTCTTTTAAATTGAATTCAGCTGAAGTTTTTCTTTTAACAGATGGTGTCAGAAGTGGGATCCGAAGTAGAGCTTCTAGCGACCCCCAGGAGCACTGAGTGACCAAGCGAGATACCCACCAGGCCCATTGTGTCCATTCCTCTCTCAGAACAGCTGAGGATTGTGGAAAGTTCTCTCTCGCATTCCAAAGTTCCACAGATTTGTGCTTAGCGCTCTTTGAGTCTCTTTGAGCAAATTTCTGATCCAAACTGGGTTTGGAGGTCATGACAGAAACTGGACTAGGTCTAGGATCAGATTACATCTGATATTAATTGGGCTGGATCCAGTTAGAGGCCTCTTACATCTGACTGGGTCAGAAAGAAACCAGTAGTAAATGGCAATATTGGAGGGGGTATAAAATTTGGCTTTTGGAAATTCACAGGGATTTGTGCATTCTACCCTCTTTGTTTCATTTTTCTTGTGCACTTAGATAGAAAAAAAATCACTAGCTAAGTTGATCAGGGGAACCTGAGAGCAAAGCCAGTATTTGAGGTAAAAACAGGCTCCTTAATTTGTGAAGAACTGAGTTCCTTCTGGCTTATACATGCATAAGTATTAAGCCCTGGAGGCAGCAAAGTCTTACAGAAATGGTGAAATCTTACTAAAGATAAGTTACAGTGCTTATCCGAATGAACAACACTGAACAGAAGTGCATGTGATTGGGGGCTCCCAAATTAGTCTTATCTAGGGATGCCTACTGATATGTAGAAGCTTCTAAAAAGATTGCATTATTTTTATCTAAAGACGTTATCAAAGGCAAATAAAAACCTTAAGTGACTAATTGATTTAAAACAAAATTAAATCTGCTAACCTTTCGGCTTAGTTACTAGCCTGCCCCAAAGGGAAAAAGAAAGCTATCCTATATAAGGTATTTATGAAGGTAGGCCCTCAAGTAAAATAGGCTTGCTTCTTTTTCAGATCTATTTATACTGAGTTCTTTTTGTTTGTTTTTTTGTTTTTCATTTGTTTTTTTGTTTGTTTGTTTTGAGACAGAGTCTGGCTCTGCCGCCCAGGCTGGAGTGCAGTGGAGTGATCTCAGCCTCACTGTAACCTCCACCTCCCCGGTTCAAGTGATTCTCATACCTCAGCCTCCCAAGTAGCTGGGATTACAGGCATGCACCACCACGCCCAGCAAATTTTTGTATTTTTTTAGTAGAGACAGAGTTTCACCATGCAGGCAAGGCTAGTCTCAAACTCCTGGCCTTAAGTGATCTGCCCGCTTTGGCCTCCCAAAGTGCTGGGATTACAGGCGTGAGCCACTGCACCCAGCCTGTTGGCCCCATTCTTTAATGCGCTCCACCCATTACTCTGAACTCAGTAATTTTAGCTAAGAAACAGTAGCTATGTTAAAAAGAATACCCTATTGAACTAAAATACACTTTTCTGGAATTTAATTGGCTATCCTGAAACTCTTTTGTAAAAGAAATCTAAATCTATAAAGGAAATCTCCATTTTTAAGGATATCTGCCTCTAAGTATTAGAAACTCTTACCATTCTTTTTATTTTTATTTTTTTTTTAGTTTTTTTGGAGACAAAGTCTCGCTCTATCCCCCAGGCTGGTGTGCAGTGGCGCAATCTCAGCTCACTGCAACCTCCACCTCCTGGGTTCAAGCGATTCTCATGCCTCAGCCTCCCCAGTAGCTGGGATTACAGGCGCCCGCCACCACGCCTGGCTAATTTTTTGTATTTTTAGTAGAGACAGGGTTTTGCCATGTTGGCCAGGCTGGTCTGAAACTCCTGACCTCAGGTGATCCTCCTGCCTCAGACTCCCAAAGTGCTGGGATTACAGGCGTGAGCCACCACACTTGGCCAACAATTTTGTATGTAGCAAACCTTAAAGTATTTGTTTAAGGCCTATTAGAGCTAATAAATGAATTCAGCAGTTGCAGGACATAAAATCAACATGCAAAAACCAGTTGTATTTCTGTATACGAACAACATGAGAATGATATGAAAAGGAAGGCCAGGTGCGGTGGCTCACACCTGTAATCCCAGCACTTTGGGAGGCCAAGGTGGGAGGATCACCTGAGGTCAGGAGTTTGAAAATAGCCTGGCCAACATGGTGAAACCCCATCTCTACCAAAAATACAAAAAACTAGCCAGGTGTGGTGGCAGGTGCCTGCAGTCCCAGCTACCTGGGAGGCTGAGGCATGAGAATGGCTTGAACACAGGAGGTAGAGGTTGCAGTGAGCCGAGATCATGCCACTGCACACTAGCCTGGGCGACAGAGTGAGACTCTGTCTTAAAAAAAAAAAAAAAAAAAAAAAGGAAAGGAAATTAATGAACAATATGAAAAGGAAGAAAACAATTCCACTTATACTAGCATCAAGAAATACAATGCTTAGGTATAAATTTAACCAAAAAATGAAAAATTTGTATATTGAAAATTACAAAACACTGCCAAAAGAAATTAAAGACCTAAATAAAGATAGCCTATGTTAACTGATTGGAAGACTTAACATTGTTAAGATGACAATCCTGCCCAAAGCAATCTACAGATTCAATTCAGTCCCTACCAAAATCCCAACTGTATTCTTTGCAGAAATATTTAAAAATTCATCCTGAAATTCATATGGAATCTCAAGGGCCCTCTAATAGCAAAAATAATCTGGAAAATTAGAACAAAGTTGGAGGACTCACACTTCTGACTTTTAAACTTAGTACAAACCTACAGTATCAAAACAGTGTGATACTGGCATAAAGACAGAACTATATAGACCAATGAAACAGAATACAGAGCCCAGAATAAACCCTCACATATATTGTCAAATGATACTCGACCATGGTGCCAAGACCATTTAATGAGAAAAGGACAGTCTCTTCAACAAATGGTGCTGGGAAAACTGGATATCCACAAAGAATAAAATTGGACCCTTGTAATAACACATACGAAAATTGACTCAAAATGGATCAAAGCCTTAAACATAAAATCTAAAGTTAAAAAACTCTTAGAAGAAAACATACAGGGAAAGGTTCATGACACTGGATTTGTCCATAATTTCTTAGATATGTCACCAAAGACACAGGCAACAAAAAAAACAAAAAAAGATAAATCAGCTTCATCAAACTTAAAACTTTCATGCATCGAAGGACACCATCAACACAGTGAAAAGGCAAACAGCTACAGAATAAGAGAAAATATTTGCAAACCATATATCTGATAAGAAATTAATATCCAGAATATATAAAGCAGGGGTCCCTAACCCCTGGGCCACAAATTAATATCAATCTGTGGCCTGTTAAGAACCAAGCCGCAAAAGCACAAGGTGAGCAGTGGGTGAACAAGCATTATCTCCTGAGCTCTGCCTCCAGTCAGATCAGCAGTGGCATTAGATTCTCATAGGAGTATGAACCCTATTGTGAACTGTGCATGTGAAGGATCTAGGTTGCACGCTCCTTATGAGAATCTAATACCTGATGATCTTGAGGTGGAAGAGTTTCATCCCAAAACCATCCCTTCTGCGGTCCATGGAAAAATTGTCTTCCACGAAACCAGTCCCTGGTGCCAAAAATGTTGAAGACTGCTGATATAAAGAACTCCTACACTTCAACAACAAAAACAAAAACAAAAACAAAATTGAGGCCAGGCACAGTGGCTCATGCCTGTAATCTCAATGTTTTGGAACCCCGAGGCAGGAGGATCTCTAGAAGATAGAAGTTCAAAACCAGTCTGGGCAACATAGCAAGACTATTACCTCTAAAAAATAAAAAATAAATTAGCTAGGCACAGTGGCACACAGCTGTAGTCCCAGCTACCCAGGAGGCTGAGGTGGGAGAATCCCCTGAGCTCAGGAGTTTGAAACTGCAGTGAGCTATGATCGTGCCACTGCACTCCAGCCTGGCGACAGAGCAAGACTCTGTCTCAAAAAAAAAAAAAAAAAACTTTTTAGATTGACTTTTAAAATGGGCAAAGGATTCGAACAGACATTTTTCCAAAAAAGACATACAAATGGCCAATAAGCACATGAGAAGATTCTCAACATCACTAATCATTAGGGAAATACAAATCAAAACCACAATGAGACACCACTTCACATCTATTTGAAAGGCTATGATCAAAAATCAGAAAACAACAAGTATTGGGGAGGATGCAGAGGAACTAGAATCCTTGTGCACTGCTGGTGGGAATGTATAGCACAGCCACTACAGAAAACAGTACACTAGCTCCTAAAAACACTAAAGACAGAATTATCATATTGTTCAGCAATTCCACTTCTTGGTATATACCCAAAGAAATAGAAAACAGGGAGCTTAACAAGTACTAGCATGCCAGTGTTCACTGCAGCATTATTTACAATAGCTAAAAGGTAGAAACAACCCAAGTGTCCATCAGCAGAAGAAGGAATAAACAAAATGTGGTATACCCATACACTGAAACATCATTCAGACATAAGAAGGAACGAAGTTCTAACATAGACTACACCATGGATAAACCCTGAAGACCTCATGCTAAGTGAAATATGCCAGACACAAAAGGACAAACATTGTATGATTACTTTTTTTTTTTTTTTTTTGAGACAGAGTCTCGCTCTGTCACCCAGGCTGGAGTGCAGTGATGCGATCTCGGCTCACTGCAAGCTCCGCCTCCTGGTTTCATTCCATTCTCCTGCCTCAGCCTCCCAAGTAGCTGGGACTACAGGTGCCCGCCACCACACCTGGCTAATTTTTTTTGTATTTTTAGTAGAGACGAGGTTTCACCGTGTTAGCCAGGATGGTCTCGATCTCCTGACCTCGTGATCCACCTGCCTCAGCCTCCCAAAGTGCTGGGATTACAGGCATGAGCCACCGCGCCCGGCCATATGATTACATTTATATGAGTTATCTAGAATAGTCAAAATCACGGAGATAGGAAGTAGAGGCCAGGCACAGTGGCTCATACATGTAATCCCAGCACTTTGGGAAGCCGAGGTGGGTGGATCACGAAGTCAGGAGTTTGAGACCAGCTTGGCGAACATAGTGAAACCCCATCTCTACTAAGAATACAAAAATTAGCCAGGCATGGTGGTGCCTGCCTGTAGTCCCAGCTACTCGGGAGGCTGAGGCAGGAGAATCACTTGAACCCAGGAGGCAGAGGTTGCAGTGAGCCGAGATCACACCACTGCACTCCAGCCTGGGCAACACAGCGAGATTCTGTCTCAAAATAATGAATGAATGAATGAATGAATGAATGAACGAACGAACGAATGAATGAATGTAGAACAGTAGTTGCCAGGGGTTGGGGGTGAGGGGGAATAAAGAGTTTTCATTTAACTGGTGTAGAATTTCAGTATGGGATGACGAAAAAATTCCAGAGATAGACAGTGGATGACAGTTACACAACAATGTGAACATACTTAATGCCATGGAACTATATACTTCAAAATGGGCAGGGCACAATGGCTCATGCCTGTAACTCCAGCTTTCTGGGAGGCCAAGGTAGAAGGGTCTCTTGAGGCCAAGGGTTTGAGACCAGCCTAGGCAACATGGCAAGACCCCATCCATACAAAAAATTTAAAAAATCAGCCAGGCATGGTGGCACATGCCTATAGTACTAGCTACTGGTGAGGCTGAGGCAGAGGATCACTTGAGCCCAAGAGTTTGAGACTACAGTGAACTATAACTGCATCACTGCACTCCAGCCTGGGAGAGAGAGCAAGACCTTGTCTCCAAAAAAAAAAAAAAAGGTAAAAATAGCAAATTTTATGTTACGTACGTTTTGCCACAATAAAAATAAATTATAAACAACCATAGGGGAAAAGCTTCATGATCCTGACTTTGGCAACAGTTTCGTAGCATGACACCACAAGTACAAACAAAAGAAAAAAAACAGATAAATTGGACTTCATCAAAATTTAAAATTTTTGTACATCTAGAGACACCACCAAGTGAGTGAAAAGACAACCACAGAATGGGAGAAATATTTCCAAGTCACCTATCTGATAAAGCAGGGCTCCCCAACCCTGCTTTATCCCCGTTAGGAACCAGGCCACACAGCAGGAGGTGAGCAGTGGGTAAAGAAGCAAAGCTTCAACGATATGTATTTACAGCCACTCCCCACTGCTCACATTACCACCTGAGCTCCGCCTCCTGTCAGATCAGCAGCAGCATTAGACGAACCCTGTTGTGAACTGTGCATGCAAGGGATCTAGGTTGCATGCTCCTTATGAGAATCTAATGCCTGGCTGATATGGTTTGGCTGTGTCCCTACCCAAATCGTATCTTGAATTATATCTTCCATAATCCCCCATGTGTCGTGGGAGGGACCTGGTGGGAGGTAATTGAATCATGGGACTGGTTACCCCCATGCTGCCATTCTCATGAAGATGTGATGGTGAGTTCTCACAAGATCTCATGGTTTCACAAGGGGCTTTTCCCCCTTTTGCTTGGCACTTCTCCTTGCTGTTGCCATGTGAAGAAGGACATGTTTGCTTCCCCTTCTGCCATGATTGTAAGTTTCCTGAGGCCTCCCCAGGCATGTTGAACTATAAGTCAATTAAACCTCTTTCCTTTATAAATCATCCAGTCTCAGGTATGTCTTTATTAGCACCGTGAGTACAGACTAATACACTGATGATCCGAGGTGAAGCTGAGGCAATGATGCTGGTACTGGGAAGCAGCTGCAAATACAGATTAACATTAGCAGAGAGGTTTGACAATCAATTGCTTGCAGACTCATCTGAAACCCTATCAGTGAGTGGCAAGTGACAATTAAGCTGCATCAGATGGCACGCTTTACAGTGGCAAGTGAGTTAATGTACTTAACACAGCTGTATCTGGTGGCAGGCTTTAAGTCACAATCCGACACTTAATTTACTCCTCGAATAGCCCACGCATTATTTTATTTACAGTCCATGCCTCTTTCCCACATGGTGCACTTGTCTCAGTCACAGTTTTGGTAAGCCCACAAGCTAGCTCTAGGCAAAATGAGTAAAAAACAAACATCACTGGAGAGCTTCTTTGAAAAGGGGGGAAGACTCAATGATGAGACAGCAGAAGACTCTAAGACATTCTAAGAATGCCAACAATAAAGAAAGCTGCATTTAAAAGAAAATACCGGCCAGGCATGGTGGCTCATACCTGTAATCCCAGCACTTTAAGAGGCCAAGGTGGGTGGGATCACCTGAGGTCAGGAGTTTGAGACCAGCCTAGCCAACATGGTGAAACTCTGTCTCTACTAAAAATACAAAAATTAGTCAGGCTTGGTGGCATGCGCCTATAATCCCAGCTACTCAGGAGGCTGAGCCAGGAGAATCGCTTGAACCCAGGAGGCAGAGGTTGCAGCGAGCCGAGATTGCACCACTGCACGCCAGCCTGGGCAACAGAGCAAGACTCCATCTCACAAAATAATTAATTAATTAATGAAAATACCAAGAGTCCTACTTAAATTACGGGTTCATTGCAACAAATGATTCACATTCTCCAAGTGCTTTGTATAAAATGTGGCAACCGGTTATCCAACAAAGCCATGAAACCTTCAAAACTGTCTCACCACATGGAGACCAAGCACCCTGCATTAAAAGACAAGCCTTTGGAGTTTTTCAAAAGAAAAAAAATGAAACACTAAGAACAGAAGCAATTATTGAAGGCCACCACTTCATCAAATGTGTCTGCACTTGAGACACATTCTTAGTGGCTAACCACATCGCTAAAACTAAGAAGCCCTTTACTATTGGTGAAGAGTTGATCCTGCCTGCTGCTGAGGACATTTGTCATGAACTTTTAGGAGAGGCTGCAGTTCAAAATGTGGCACATGTTCCTCTTTCGGCTAGTACTATAATTAGACAAATAAATAAAATAGCAGAAGATATTGAGGTACAATTGTAAGAGAGGATTGAGTCACTGTAGTATGCAATCCAGGTTGACAAGTCCAGCAATGTTGACAAGGCAACAGTGCTTGCTTTTGTGCGATATATTTTCAGGAGGATGCACATGAGGATATGTTGTGTGCACCTTTGTTGCCAACTAGCACCACAGCTGCAGAACTATTCAAGTCTTTGAATGATTACATATCAGGAAAACTAAACTGGTCATTTTGTGTCAGTATATGCATAGATGGAATGGCTGCCATGACTGGACAGCTTTCTAATTTCACTACTCAGGTCAAAGAGGTCACTTCAGAATGTAAGTCTATGCACGGTGTCAAAAAATGACAAAAAATGTCGCCTGAACTTAACAACATTTTACAGGATGTGATTAAAATTATCAACCACATTAAAGTACATGCCCTTAGCTCATTCTATTTGCACAGCTCTGTGAGGAAATGGACGCAGAGCATACATGTCTTCTCTTACACACAGAAGTGAGATGACTTTCTAAAGGTAGATCACTGGCCAGAGTTTTTGAGTTATGAAAGCAGCTCCAGTGATTTCTTTTAGAAAAACAGTCAGTCACTACTGGCAGCACATTTCAGTGACGCAGAATGGGTCACAAACTGCTTACTTGTGTGACATATTCAACCTGCTCAATCTGTCACTTCAAGGGAGAACAACAACTGTGTTCAAATCACCAGATAAAGTGGCTGCATTCGAAGCCAAACTGGAATAATGAGGGCGATGAGTCAACACTGGGATTTAGCAGAGATTTTTTTTTCTTTTTTTTTTTCTGTGATGGACTCTCACCCTGTTGCCCAGGCTGGAGTGCAGTGGCATGATCTCAGCCCACTGCAACCTCCACCTCCCGGGTTCAAGTGATTCTCTTGCCTCAGCCTCAGCCTCCCGAGTAGCTGGGATTACAGGCATCTGCCACCATGCCCAGCTAATTTCTGTATTTTTAGTAGCGATGGGGTTTCACCATGTTGGCCAGGCTGGTCTCAAACTCCTAACCTCAAGTGATCCTCCCACCTTGGCCTCCCAAAGTGCTGGGATTACAGGAGTGAGCCACTGTGCCCGGCATTTTTTTTTTTTTTTTTTTGAGATGGAGTCTTGCTCTGTTGCCCAGGCTAGAGTGTAGTGGTGTGATTTTGGCTCACTGCAACCTCCACCTCCCAGGTTCAAACGATTCTCCTGCCTCAGCCTCCCCAGTAGCTGGGATTATAGGTGCGTGCCACCACGCCCAGCTAATTTTTGTATTTTTAGTAGAGATGGGGTTTCACCATGATGGCCAGGCTAGTCTCAAACTCCTGACCTCAGGTGATCCACCTGCCTCAGCCTCCGAAAGTGCTGAGATTATAGGTGTGAGCCACCATGCTTGGCGAGCAGAGATTTTACAAGAGACTGAGCCAGGGCCTTCTTTCTCCCAGCTGGTGCATGATCACGTATCTCAGCTTTCAAAAGAGTCTGAGCATTACTTCCAAACCACAAAAGACCCCCAAACTGGGAAGGAATAGATCCACGACCAATCTGTGAATAAACCAGGTGAATTGACTTTGTGCATGCTAGAAGAGGATCAACTGCTTGAGATCACAAATGACAACAGCCTTAATGGTATGTTTGGGACAACTTCAAATCTCCATACATTCTGGATTAGAGTCAAGGCGGAATATCCTGAGATTGCCACAAAAGCACTGAAAAGCCTGCTTCCATTTCCAACATCCTATTTTTGTGCAGCAGAGTTTTCTGCAGTGATGGCAACCAAAGCGAGATTAAGGCATTGACTGGACATAAGCAACACACTTCTGGTGTCACTGCCTTCCGTCACCCCCAGATGGGACCATCTAGTTGCAGGAAAACAAGTTCAGGGCTCCCATTGATTCTACATCATGGTGAGTTGTATAATTATTTCATTATATATTACAATGTAATAAAAATAGAAATAAAGTACACAATAAATGTAATGCACTTGAATCATCCTGAAACCATCCCCTCATCCTGTCCATGGAAAAACTACCTTCCACAAAACCAGTCCCTGGTGTCGAAAAGCTTAGAGACTGCTGTATAAAGGATTAATATCCAAAAAATATAAAGAACTCCTACAAAACAACAAAAAACCAAACAACTCAATTAGAAAATGGGCAAGGCTTTGGAGACACCACTGCCCCCCAAAGCTCCCTGCCACCAGCCACCGTCAACCCCACCATGTTCTAGGCCATGGACAGCCCTTGAGCCACGTCTCCTTTGAGCTGTTTGCAGACAAAGTTCCAAAGACAGCAGAAAACTTCCATGCTCTAACCACTGGAGAAAAAGGATTTGATAATAAGGGTTCCAGCTTTCATATAATTATTCCAGGGTTTTTGTGTCAGAGTGGTGACTTAACATGCCATAATGGTGTGGCAAGTCCAGCTACAAGGAGATCTGATGAGAACTTCATCCTGAAGCATACACTCACTGGAACTAGCAATTTTCCTATAGATGTCAGTGAGGAAGAAACAAATATCCCTGTATTAACATCATAACCGTCATAATCACTTTTTTGTATTAATAATGTCAAATCACTAGAAACTCAGTTAAACAACTGATACTCAAGAAGTGGAACTGGTAGTAGGGGACCTTTTACTTTTGTAAAGAGAGGATTTATTGCTCTCAAGCATGTATCAATTTTGAAATTTTTCAAAATGCAAGTCTGTGGAGGAAATAATGCCCTATTATAACAAAAATGCAGAAAACAAGTACCCTCACTGTCCTGGAGGACAATCTGGCAACAGCTAATTTCAAACAACCAACTGCTCAAAAGTAGGAAAGTAAAGGATAGTATATCTGTATTACAGAACGGCAGTCTTAAAAGAGTGAAGAATCCAGATATTAGAACATGTTCAAAGTATAATAGATTTAAAATAAAAGTAGATTATAAGACAATATAAGCAGTATGGTTCCAAATTTATTTTAAATGCCTACTTAAATGTATATACAATAAAAAAAAAACTAAAAAGATATGACAATATGTTGAAAGGGGTTGTCTGGGTAATGAAAATAAGACATCACCTTTATGTTCTTTTTTGTATTTTTTTTGTATTTACTGACATTTCTGTAATGATATATACGTTATGTAATCAGAAGGAAATGTTACATAGGAAAATAAAAAGCTCAAATGTATTCAAGATACTGAATTCACAATATAGAAAAGACTAGATAAGTCATATTTTAGAAAAAATTCTAACAGAAATAGACAAAATCTCTTCTTGGTGCTCTTAAAGGTTTAACCTTGAGTTCCCTGGAAAAGTCACTCATCCAAAACACAGCATTCCCCAAAGATGTCAAACAAAAGAAGTATTGTCGGGATAAGTTCAAACTGCATCCCAGTTACCTGCTGTAAGATTTGTGGATCACTGTTGTGATGACTGTGAAACTGTAGGTGAGAGAGAGGGATTCATACTGGAATCCTAAGGCTCCCACTCAAAATCTGTCATCTGAACTTAGCCACAGGCACTAAGCCTCTCTAACAGGCTCAAGAAAGAGAAAGGCCAAGGGAAAAAAAGTACACTCATGATGTCACAAATTTCTAACAATCAAATATTATTAGGTTTACAGCCTGCCTTTTAAAATACCATCAGGATTAATAAAACAAAATAAAATTCTTCACTAGGTTGGAATCTTAATTAAGCATTCACCAGTCACTCACCATGAACTAGGTCCTGATGATACAAACATGAAGACAAAGTTCCTTATCCTCAAGAAACTCAGTCCCTGAGGCAGAGATGAAATTAAGCATGATCTAGAAGGATAAATGACATACTAGAGGTTGGTACCAACTGCAGTAGAAGCAGCAATGCTTATTTATATCAGGCAGAGTAGGGAAAGGCATAAAAAAGAGATGACATTTGAGCTTTTTCAGTTAACATTCCCCAAGCAGAGAAAGGGAATCATGGGATTCCAATGATATAACAACACCCTGAGTAAAGCAATAAAGGTAAGAACATTATAGTCCTGTCTGGAAAAGGGTGAGTTGTCCAGCATATCTAGAGTATAGAAAATGTGGAGAGAGACCCGGCATGGTGGCTCACGCCTGTAATCCCAACACTTTGGGAGGTCAAGGCAGGCAGATCACTTGAGGTCAGGAGTTCAAGACCAGCCAAGAGGAGAGGGGAGAGGGAGTGGGTGGGGGGGGGGGAGGAGAGCGGGGAGGGGAGGGGAGAAAAAATGTGGAGAGAATGTCAGAAACAAAACTCTGAGAAAAGTTTAGTGCCACCCTTCCTCCTGTACAGGAAGATGAAAATGAAGTTAACATCTTTTCAATGCTGATATTTCTTTCTCACTCCCCATGCTTTAGTAAGTCCATACAGACTTTTTAGCAGCATCTTTCCCCCTTGTTAAAACACCATAGCCATGAACTAAGGCTAAGGAGCCCATCCTAACCCCAAACATTATCAAGTTCACAAAGGTGGTACGGCTGGCACTATCATAAAATGTTCATACAGATAATCTGCATTCAAATCACAACACTGCAGACACTACTTGTTTATACACTAGACATAATTCCCCTCTAGGACAATAAAATTTTCTTCCTCTCCTGTCCAACATTTTTATTAGCCACTTGGAAAAACATAGAAGACAGGCTTATCAATTGCGTAAAGGTCCAAAGAAAATATAGTAATATCTTGGATCACAAACTTAAGCTTCAAAAAGATTTGACAGGTTGTACTCATGAGCTAAATACAGTGTTAATGTTAACGGAAATATAAAATACTTTTTAAATGAAACTAAAATTTTACATTTCTGTTTAATATCAATCACACAAGTTCAGGATGGAGGGGATATAGCTTGACTTCAGTTCATATAAAATAAAACCTAGAGTTGTTATAAATTCAGTATGAGCAATTAGTGTGAAATGGCACCTCAGAAGTCTCCAAAAAGCAGTCTTTATACCACATTAATAAAAATGTCCAATTCAATGCTACAAATACGTGTGTAAAACCTTCTGCATGCCTGGTTCTGAGGTGCGTCTGCCAAGAATGCAAAGATAGACCAGGCGCGGTGGCTCACGCCTGTAATCCCAACACTTTGGGAGGATCACAGAGTCTTACTCTGTCACCCAGGCTGGAGCGCAATGGCGCGATCTCAGCTCACTACAACCTCCGCCTCCCAGGTTCAAGCAATTCTCCTGCCTCAGCCTTCCGAGCAGCTGGAATTACAGGCGTGCGCCACCATGCCCGGCTAATTTTTATATTTTTAGTAGAGGCAGGGTTTCACTATGTTGACCAGGCTGGTCTCAAACTCCTGACCTCAAGTGATCCACCCACCTAGGCCTCCCAAAGTGTTGGGAATACCGACATAAGCCACTGTGCCTGGCCCAAATAAGAATTTTAAATGTATTTTTTATTGTAGGTCATAGTCAAAAGTTGGAAAGACATTAGTCTAATGAAGAGGATAAAGTAAATATACCACTACAAAATACAAAGTATAACAGGATTTAACAGAATAAAATATATCTGGTTGGAGAAAGAGAGGGGTAGGGCCAAGAATCTAGGAAAGGATTTACAGAGATAACAATATATGAGAGAAGTCTTGGCAGGCTGGAAATAATTTAAGAAATGAAGACATGGGGGAAAGGCACTCTGTGTAGAAGGAACAATATGAACAAAGACATGATGCAGCAAATATGTGTTTAATGGTCCTGGGACATGGCGGCACTAGTTATGAGTTAAGTACAAACAGAAGAACCTGGAGAAAGTTCAGTTTGGCTAAAGTGTAAAGTATTAACAAGTCAGTGGATGAGGCTGAACATGCAAATTTGAACCATAACATGAAAGTGCTGGATACATGATAAACCATGAATGCTAGCTGTTCCAACTAGTCTTAGCTCTGGGGCCTTAAACCATATTATCTCTAAGATTTCTTAGAGTTCTAAAGTTTATGACTTACTGAAGAGCTATGATGCAAGTTATTTATATGAAGGCACAGAACAAGGACTTATAAGAAACTACAGGGAGTCATTAGTCTACTCAATAAGGAAGAATGTTCTCATTACAGCTAACAATAAAATGGGCTGTCCCAAAAAGTGGTGAGGGCATTGGCAATAGATATGTTTGAATATAGGCCAAATACATATCTGTTGAAGGTATGGTACTAAATCAGTACTATCAAGTTCTGTGTTTATCACACTCTAATTCTTCTATCATGTTGGTTCTCACTTATTAGCAAGAGCTCATGAATGAGTTCCGAAGGGAGAGGGAGAATCATATTAAAGTAGGAGGATGGGATTTTATTCCATTGTAGATAAGCAGGAAAATGGGAAGCTTCTGAATGACATTTCCCAACATAGTAATTATCTTTACTAGAGTATCCCTAAGGTGTGATATAGCAAATCAACTGCAAGTACTTAGCTAAAATAATTTGGTGATGTATAAAAAAAATTTAAGGTTTTAAGAGCCTTTATGTGAAAAAAATGCTTGCTTCTCCCTGCAAAAGCTGTCAAAAGGGGGTATGCAAAACAATTAAATGCATAATCATAAACAGGTTTGGCTTGTTCATTACAATAAAAGCATAACATTGGAATTAAAATCCTAATATAGCATACCCAATAATGCTTACATGTTGGGAATAATTTCAGATCATTCTTAAAGAATAAAGACACAAAAATTTTAAAAAATTCAAAATACAAACTATTAAAAATTAAAATTTAGCACCAATGTAAAAATATGCTATGAAGGTTAAAGTACTTTCAACCTCAATGACCATTCTTTTGAGACTGCCCTGCTTCAGAATGCATCTAATACTACACAGAAATAGGTGCCATGTTTACAATTTAGCTTAATGTTTCTAAATCATATTCTAATACTGCATGATAAAACGAACTAGAAATCTGAAGTCTACTGAATAGACTTAAGATGATTAAAAACTTAAACATAAGACCCAAAACTATAAACCTACTAAAAGAAAACATAGGGAAAATGCTTCAGGACATTGGTCTAGGCAAAGATTTTATGACTAAGACCTCAAAAGCACAGGCCACAAAAACAAAAATAGACAAATGGGGCTACATTAAACTAAAAGCTTCTGCACAGCAAAGGAAAAAGAGTAAAGAGACAATCTACAGAATGGGAGAAAATATTTGCAAACTATTTATCTGATAAGGGACTAATATACAGAATATACAAGGAACTCAGCAGCAAAACCAAATAATCCCATTAAAAAGTAGGCAACAGGCTGGGCACAGTGGCTCATACCTGTAAACCCGCCACTCCCCAGGAGGGAGGGTCTCTTGAGGCCAGGAGCTCAAGACCAGCCTGAGTAAAATAGCAAGACCCAGTCTCTATAAAAAAAAAAAATTAAAAATTCGCTGGGCATGGTGGCATGGACCTGTTGTCCTAGCTACTGGAGAGGATGGCTTGAGCCCAGGAGTTCAAGGTTACCATGAGCTACGATCATGCCATAGCACACAAGCCTGGGTGACATAGCAAGACCTCGTCTTAAAAAAAAAAAAAAAAAAAAAAAAGCAGGGCACGGTGGCTCATGCCTGTAATCCCAGCACTTTGAGAGGTCAAGACGGGCAGATCACTTGAGGTCAGGAGCTCGAGACCGGCCTGGCCAATATGGTGAAACCCCGTCTCTACTAAAAATAGAAAAGAATTAGCCAGGTGTGGCGGCGCACACCTGTAATCCCAGCTACTCAGAAGGCTGAGACAGAAGAATCGCTTGAACCCAGGAAGCGAAGGTTGCAGTGAGCCGAGATCACCCCATTGCACTCCAACCTGGGCATCACGGCAAGACTCTGTCTAAAAAAAAAAAAAAAGAAAGAAAAAGAAAAAAATAGTCCAATACAGAAATAAAATTCCTTAAATATAACTATCCAGTTTAAATTGAAAACTGCAGAGTATGTCTTATCTTTCAAGCCACAGTCATATACTACTGACAATTCCTTTCAGAGGACACGGTGTAATAATACAATCTGTGGCTTAGAATCTCAAAGTCCTAGGTTCAAATCTCAACTCAGCACTTACTATCTAAAGTATCTTAGATCAGTTACTTAATTTCTCTCAGCTAAAGCTTCTTTCTCATCTGTTTAAAAAAGAGGGGAGAGGTGGTGATATAGTGTAAAGCTCAAGTAGAATCATGAATAAGGAAGTTCCCCATAAACACTAAACAAGACATCAAGCACATCCTCACTTTTCAGAACAAAATAAAGTCATAGGTCTATGAAATCTTTCCTACCCCTAGTGGATGATGTCTTTACCTCTAAAGGGGTATTGGGGCCCTTCCAGAGGTTGCAAAGGTTGGGCTTCCCTCACTGAATAAATAACTAAAGAGCACACTGTCTTCAGACTATTTTGGTGAGTTCTAGTCCATTTACCAACAGATTTACTCAAATTTTGTGAACACTAATTCTTCCAGATCTGGTTTCAAGGATCTATTTCCTCCCCACCTTCAGATTCTTTTCCTGCACCACAGGATCTTTACAAGTTTCTTTTAAGGACTCAGGATTTGTTTGTTTGTTTGTTTGTTTGTTTTTAAGTGCTTTTCTTCCCTATCTGGAGAAACCTAACCAAAAGGAAGTTAGGTAAAAATAATGCATAAAATACGCATTACTTTTTAAATAGGAAAAAATAAATATAACATTACAAAACTAAAATGTAAGGTCTTCAGATTGGTAATGAGAAAAATTTTTCATGTTCTACTAAGAGGGATTAATAAAAAATAAGCAATAAATGCCCTAAATTACTCAAAAATTTGCCTTAGCTGGGCACAGTGGCTCACAGGTATAATCCCAGTGACTTGGGAGGCTGAGGTGGGAGGATAGCTTGAAGCCAGCAGTTTGAGACAAGCCTGGGCAACATAGCAAGACCATGTCACTAAAAAAAATTTTTTTTAATTAAAATTTAAAAATTAGCCAGGCAAGGCTGGGCGCAGTGGTTCATGCCTGTAATCCCAGCACTTCGGGAGGCCGAGGCGAGCGGATCACAAGGTCAGGAGATTGAGGCCCTCCTGGCTAACATGGTGAAACCTCATCTCTACTAAAAATACAAAAACAAAATTAGCCGGGCATGGTGGCGGGCACCTGTAGTCCCAGCTACTCGGGAGGCTGAGGCAGGAGAATGGCATGAACCTGGGAGGCAGAGCTTGCAGTGAGCCGAGATCACGCCACTGCACTCCAGCCTGGACGACAGAGCAAGACTCCGTCTCAAAAAAAGAAAAAAAAAAATTAGGCAGGCAAGGTAGTAAACACCTGTAGTCCCAGCTACTTGGGAGACTGCTGCAGGGGGATCGCTTGAGCCCAGGAGTTCAAGGCTGCAGTAAGCTATGATCATGCCGCTGCACTCCAGCCTGGATGACAAGAGCAGGACCCCACCTCTCAAAAAAAAAAAATTGCCTAATGACAGCAGCAGAATAAACAAGATGACCTTCTGAAGCAGCTTCCACTTCTAAGACGTCAAACTAATACCTATGTACTCAAACCTTTACCACTTTTCTATTCAAGGAGTGTAATTACAAACATTTTTGTTTTAAAAACTGTTGGTGCTTGCTGCTCCTGCTGTTGCTCCTGTTAGAGGGTGAGAAAAGCATTTTCTTGGTTTTTGTATTCTATATTTGGTACTCTGGGTACAGTCAGTATAGGGAAAGACAGGTGTTTCACAAAAATAGCTGGATTTTTCTCACCTAATACACTTTAGAGCAGGAAGCTTCTTGGAAAGGTAGAATAAAGAATGGAAGGATGCAGGACTTTCCAAGCATTCATGGCAACAGAAAGGAAAGCAGAGATTCTCTAAGAGGGAAAGGGACATAAGAAGTCAAAACACGGGCGAACGGGTACAGTAAAGAACAGTACCTTACAGTACCACAAAAAGAAAGCAAGACAGTCAAGTATTTCACAAAATACTGCCCACTGCCAAGAAGAAAATTAAGAAAAATATACAATCGTTGAAGGACAAAAAAAAAAAAATTAACAACCTTTGGGATCCAGTTTCTTTATCTGTGTAATAATGATAACATTAAGACTACTCTGGGAATCGACATGGGGTTACCTAAGTGAGAGTCCCAGGCACACTGACAGGCCTATCACTGACCCTCAGAAAGGATAATGTCCTCCCCACTGCCTAAAATCACTCACAGAATATTACAATGGAAAGGGGGGCTCAGTCATCACCTCATCCTAAATGAATAAACCAAACAATTCAGTCATGTTATAACCTGTACAGAATTCCTATATTATAAAAAATTTAATAAGTATTACTACAGGATCTCAAAGCCTTATCAATGTCAAATACAAATGAACAGCTGCAGTGGAAAAAACCCTTTGTACTGCTGCAACAGGGGACTCCTTCCCTCACTAACATCAGGGCAAAAGGAGGCCCTCGAGGCCCTCCTCCACAAATTTCTCCAAATTGGTAGGAAGTAAGTGTAAGGGGTTTCCCTCCTTGCTATGTGATTATAGGTTGACAAACAAAGACACAAATCTGTGCTCCAAGTTAGTCATAAAAATCAAAGCTGAAACTCAAACATTTTCTCACAGGAAAATGATAATGGTTATATTTTCAAGCTAGCCCTCATAGCAATCAAATGATGCAGCAAAAATGCCGTTTTAATTGACTATTTTTCTCATAAGTATAATGTATAAGCTACTTTATAAAGTGGATTTTATGAAAAGTTCTAGAAGTGTAGCCCTAACATCCTTATGAAAAAAAATGTGTCCTGAGTTTTAAACAATTTACACAAAAACTTTTAGATCATAACTAAGGAAGGGACAGTGGAAGACTGTGAGATAAATAGAGAGTTGCTTGGTTTGGTAGAAAAGGCATCTAAGTTATGCTAAACCACAGCTGCTATGAAAATGTCTTCAGTGTAACTGTCTCTCTCATTTAGCAAGCATTAAGCTCTGCCCTGAGCCCAATGCTGTGGCCCTCCAAAGGGAATAACAATTTTTCTAAAGCTAAAAACACAATCCTAGGAATGCAAGAATTTCGTTGCATCTTGCTGGGAAAATCACACACCAAATCCTAGTGCTTTGAGATTCACATGTACCTATCTTGATTACCTTGCACTGGCTCTGTCTCAGAACACACTTAGTGTTATTAGTCTAAATACTAAGGGAAAAGAAGAAACTATTAAGCATTCAGCACGTTCTCATTTCACTTTCACAATCCTGTAAGATAGGTAAACATTATCCCCAATTTATACATTAATAAAATGACGTTAAATGATGTTAAATTACTTGCCCACACCACCAGTAAAGAGAAGCTAGGACTCTGAATTCCACTTTGTCCACTATTCAAGGGCTCCTCCCCCCACGCCCCCACCCCCGCCAAAATAGGGCTCCTCCCCCCTCCAAAAAAATCAATCATGGGGTGCCACTGGAGAGTTGACCACTCACATCAATTATTTGTTATTCTAGTTCAGCAGTTCTGGGAGCGAGTTATGGAGAAGATAAACCACCAACTCCTCACTTCACAGAATCAACTCAGTATTCAGGGAATACTCTAAGAGAAGGGGTAAAATGTCCCTAGAGGTGAATCCCAGCTCTTCGCATCATTTCTCAATTCCTTCTCAATAGAGACTCTAGGACCAGAGCTCCCTTTATCACCTCCATCCTAACATACCTAATTGTTTCAGAAAGTTACCTTTTAAAACAAGATCTTCTACCAGAATAGAAGACCTCTCTGCTGGTCCTCGAATTTAAATAAATTCAATTTTCACACGATAACCTGCCTGATAGCATTCCAAAACATTCGTTACCACTGCAGTTTCAAGTTATTTTGTAGTGAATTGTGAACTAAATCTTGATTAAATTGCGGTAAAGATGGGAAACAAAAATCTATGTTTAGACAGGTTTCCTATCTAAAATTTTCCATTACGAGCTTAGGAAAAACAAAACCTGTACACTCAACATTTTAAATCTGTTTCTAACTGAACAAGATGATAGGTGATGCAATGAGGCTTAACTCTATCATGTAATTGCCACAAAACACTAACATTGTAAAACATTCAATACTTTAAATTACTGAATATTCTTTTTAAAGAAGTTGAATATTGTAAGAATTATTTAGCTTCTGGAGTTTAACACTTACAACATTAAAAAAAGGTTTCTAAGAGGAATAAGGTCTCATCTGAAAACAGGGTTTAAAAAAAAAACCGTATAAACATTGATACATGTCCAAAAACATTTCCCATCGTAAGGTATTATTTCTAATACTAAAGGCAAAACAAATTAAAACAGATCAAACATTTGCAGTCAAATGTCCAAATTTTTGAACTGGGAAAATGATGTCAACGTTTTTCATCCGTTTTCTTGTAAGGTTCCAGATCAAAAATAAACAGCCATCGGGCTCATCAATTCAGGTGCGGAAACTCATTAAAATCGAGCTTTTGGAGGGGAGAAAACATATTCCCAGAATTTGGTTTATCGGGTAAAATTGCCCCGTGGCCCACACCAGAAACCTCGGGCAACTGCCCGGGCCTTGCCCACCCCTCCCGCGGGCCGCACCTGCCAAGGCCGCACCGCCAGCGCCCCCTGCCGCCCTCTCTGCACAGAGACCCGCGCCCACCCCCGCACCCGCACCCGCACCCGCACCTGCCCCCACCCCGCGCTCGCCCCGCGCCGAGGCCGCGCAGCCTGCGGGCAGTGGCGGGGGCACGAGGATGCGAATCCAGGCGGGGCCGGGAGCTGGGCGCGTCCCCCAGAACCCCCGCCACGGCCAGGCCTGAGCCTCACCTACCTACGCCGTATTTCTCCTCCTCCGTGGGGGTCCACATGGCCGTGCCGGGCGCGGCCCCGCGGGCGCGGCGACCGGGCGACAACGCGGCGGGGACGGCCGCGGGCCCGGCTGTGGCGCACCGCGAGTCGAGGCGGGGACGGTCAGGCGGCGCGGGGCAGTGGGCGGCGCATCCCTCACAGGCCGTCCGGGATGCCGCCGCCACCCCCGCCACGTCTGGACCGCGAGGCTCCGCGGGTGGCCCAGCAGCCCCTGGCGGCGCGGGCGAAGGCTCGCCACCTGTCCGTCGCCGCTGCTCCCGTGCCGCCGCTTGCTTCTTCACAGCTCCGCCGCCCGGCTCCCGGCGCCGCCGCGGCTCGGCTCGCCCCAGCGGGCTCGCAGGACGCCCGCGCATGCGCCACTCCCTGCCGCGCAGGGGCTCGCGCTGCCCGGGCTCGCGCCGTCCCGAGCCCGCGCGCGAATCCACGCGCCGCTGCTGCGCGCCAGCGGAGGGAAATCCGCGAGAAGCTATTGGACTGCCCGGCCCCGGACCGGCTTCTAGAATCGCTGGTCCGGGGCCCTCAGCTGCAGCAAACCCCGGAGGGGGCGAAGCCGGTCAGGTGGGCGACTCCCTCTACCCGGACTCCCCACTCGCTTCCGCTTCCAGTGCCTCCTGCCTGCGCCCCGAGATGGCCACAGGCCTCCTGGTCGGAGAGGGGAGATCCAGAAAAGGAGGACACGACACCATTTTCAGACCCATCCCAGTGTCACCCACAGTGCTGTCGGAAAGGTCCCCGGAGCCACCCTGTGCATTCCCAGGGCCCGCAGGATGGAGTCGCCACGAGGGAACCAGGTGGGGTGCACTCGTGCCCCTCTCTCCTGGATCCCCTGTGGGCTGAGGCCGCTGACACCTCCTGGGTTCTTGCTTCTCTGAGATGGCCTGAGTGGTGAATGTTTGGGGCCAGAACAATCAACAGCCGCCTTGCTAGTAAGGAAGAGCTTCATTGGGCCCTTCGTGTTCCTACCCAGGACACGGCATCTGCTGCTCCTGGGTGTCTGCCTCCCTTGGAGCCCTAAGAACTGGCTCCTACCGGAAACTTTCCTCCTCTCTCTCCTCCCTAAGAATCCATTCATTCTGATGCCTGTAAATGTCACCTTGTGACCCCCAAGTCAACCACTTACCAAAGAACAGGAACTGCAGGACTTCTCCTTTCCACCTACATTTGGACCACATGCTCTAATCCCAGCAGATTTGCCCATCTCTGTCACTAGCACTACTAAGTCAAAACCCTGGTGTCATCCTTCACTAGCACTCTCAGACACCACCACTCTTCAAAGCCCAGCTCAGCCCCTCACCTCCAGGAAGCCTGCCCTGACCCATAGTCTCCTTTCCTTCTTTGTCTGGAATTGGAGCTATGTTCGGTTTGTCTTATTTCCCTTATAAGACTGTCAGCTCCCAGAAGGCAAGCTCCAGGCTAAAATCAACTTTCTAAACCCTCACCACCAACCCAGCACCTGTTGTATAGTTGTTGCATGGGAAGCCAGACTAATAGAAGAATATCTTGCAATCAACAGATCTTGTTGATTCTTCGTTCAAAGTGTCATGATTGGTAACTCCTCCCAGGCCTGACTGTGCTCCCCTGGGTTATGGCCACCCCTTCCCACCTTCGGACCTTTAGGCTCCTCCTCTCACTAATCATAGCTGCCCACTCCCGCCCAGAAAAATGTCTGTTCTGTGAATGATAGAATTTCTCAATAGCCAGGTACACTTCTTTTTAGGGGTAGCAGGGGTGTCCAAGAACATAACGAAAGAGCTAACTGTTCCAAGAAGATAGACCCCTCCCCGGTGGCCACCATGGAAGTATTCTATGGAATGAAGCCACATTCTTACAAAACTCTCCAGGTAGCTATTCAACAAGTGGGGCTGAGCTACGCAGGCCTTCAGGGAACAACCTTAAAGCTCTTATTTCATCCTCTAAGTTCACTCCCTTGTCTGCTGTATGTGATGACAGTCACAGAGCCTAAGGGCCAGTTTTTCCAAAGTTTATACTCTTGTTCCCAGTCTGAATCCATCTTAGATTATGGCTTTCCCAGATGAAGAAAATTCTCCATGATTGCACACCTCAGCTCCAGGGTGGAAGGGCATTAAACCCAACCAGGGAAGGGAAAAGAAGGGACCAAAGTGAGAAGGAAGGGACTTAGTAAGCCTGGACTCCTACACTCTTGCTGTTTGTATAAATTTAGATTGTTTTTGTGAGTTGAAGCAAAAGGGCATAGCACACATTGGCCTTCAGCAGGACCATGCACCTGCTCTCTTATCCCCCTAGCATCTGCTCTGATCCTTTCCTTCCTCAGGCTCCCAGTCCACTCAACACACCACACACACACTCTCTCAGCATATGAGCTGCCTTCCAGCTTGCCTCTGAAAATCGAGACCCTCAGCACAGTAACCTCCCCTCCTCTCCAACTGCTCTTCTTTGTGTTCTCGCCACCACCAGGCTCACTGCCTGCTACTTCTCAGGATCCCCAACTATCATTGCCCTGTCTCCCATTTTCACCCTGACCTGCTCCACAGACTCCTGCGGTCCCAGGAAGACCTGCCCTGTTGGTACCCTCATCCCCCCATTCCCTCTCTCTTCCTCCTCTCTCCATCTGACTACAGAGGAGAATCATCCATTCCAAATCCTTTTATTTCAATGTAATTCATTTGATTCTCACCACCTGAAGGTCTGCGTTCTGACCCTGTCACCTCCTGGAAACTACTTTCCCAGAATTCCCCAGGGCCATCCCAACTTCAGACCATTGCCTTGTTCTGGCTGGGTTTTTGCATAGAGTGTCCCTCAGCTTGTGTCCTCTACTCTTGAAACCCACACATCTGCATCATGCTTCAAGAGCTGTCTCAGGGCCACTTTCCTGAAGAAGGCTTCCCCAACTGCCCTCAGTTCAGCTGGATTTTTTGCACCCATTATGACCTTTTCTGTAGCACTTACTCATTCCACCCTTCTCCAAGAGATCAAATGGGTCTGCTTCTCACATTGGCAAACATCTGTTTTTTTCTTCAGTGACAAGGATTGTTCTTCAATTATTTTTACCTTACACAGAGACTAACATAGTGCCTACCACCTAACATGAATTTAACATACACTCTTGGGTGAATAATCTCCCTGTACGTTTTCTGAGACCATAATGAAATAGGTTGGAAGAGAGAACTGAGATGTTTACCTCAGCAAGTCACAAATCGGCAAACTCAGAAACTCTAATTAATTAAATTTCTTTGTTATAGACATATTGGTTTTAATTAAAAATTCATTGCAATGTCTTATTGAGTAGCTATAAAAAAGATAAACATGATAGAGCAATTTAAAAAACAAAGTATGCAAACAGTTTCACTTATCATGTCACTGTTACTTTTGGGTTTAACTCATTACCTTAGATGATAAATTGCAACTCGATGAGCAAGGAAGGAATCAAGTTTTCTGCAGGAAATTCGTTAAGACTGGTGGCTGTTAAAAATAGCCGATACCCAAACAAATTTTATAAATAATTTACAAGAAATGCAGACAGCATCATCTTTTTCTCTTAGAGTTTAAGTTGATCAATAATTTTTTATCACAAGCAAACTCCATAATGGTAAATCCCCCATCACCTTTGGTGAATGATACTGGCCCTCTACAAAGCTCGATGAGATACACTTCATATCTTCTCTCCTTGTTTTCTGCTGCCTAGAGAATCACACAGCAGCATTTAAGGAGCCAGCCAGTCTGATGACTCAGCTCATAAAACAATGTGTGGCCACAAAGATGATGTTTATCCATGAGCATTCTGGAGGCTCTTGCTACTGAAGTCGGCAAGCAGTGGATAAGTGGCACACGATGCTCATTCTCAAGAGTTTCTGGCAGCGGTGCCAACACAGCACTCACTTCCCTCTCTCAGCAGTTGATTTCATCTGATGCTCTGTCCAAACAGAATGGTAGAAAAAAACATCAGAGAAATGCAGTGGGTATAGAGGCAAATCCAAACAAAGTGCAGGTGATAGTGGTGACATTCTGCCTTCTCTTGATCAGAAGGTGTCAGCAGCTGGAGCTTATCCCCATATGAACCCCAGGGTCAGGTAAATGGAAGACTTAAGAACACGTTACCCAACTTACCTCTGCCCTTCTGGGTTCCTCAAGGAGGGGGTCTGCTGTGGTTAGTAAAACGTCTGCGGAGCTAGTTTCCTTCATGGCAGAGAGATGCGCAAGCTAGTCTCACTTCACCAGCACCTCTTATTTACCCCAAAGCAACACCTTTTAGGAAGCCTCCTTTCAGGAGGCAGCTTTGGAATAAGGGGCTAATTCAAAGTAAGTTAACACAAAGGCTGTACACAGTGGCTCACACTTGTAATCCCAGCACTTTGGGAGGCTGAGGCAGGCAGATGACTTGGGGCCAGAAGTTCAAGACCAGCCTGGCCAACATGGTGAAACCCCGTCTCTACTAAAAATACAAAAATTAGCCAGTCATGGTGGTATGCGCCTGGAGTCCCAGCTACTTAGGAGGCTGAGACAGGAGAATCACTTGAACCCAGGAAGCAGAGATTGCAGCGAACCAAGATTGCTCCACTGCACTCCAGCCTGGTGACAAAGTGAGAATGTGTCTGAAAAAAAAAAAAAGATAAAGTTAACACAGAGATGGCTGACACAATTAGAGCACTTTCAGGTGAAGAGACCTAAAGTGTCTAAGAAGATATTAGTATTTTGCTTTAAGTTTTGTTGCATCTGAATATATTTTCAGTAGGGAGGGGATAGGGAAGAGTGTGACAGGAAGACAGATTAAGCAGTACAATATTTCATTATTTTCCCTAAAATGACAAACTTTAACCATCTGTTCCTATTTTATCAACCCATTCAAAATGTTATTAAAATGTGGATTTCTTTCAGTTAGCCAAGGTCTTCAAATGAGAAATGGCCAAAGCTCTCCTGATTTTAATTCGTGGAGACTGATGTGGCACTTCTGGATGGGCTCTAATGAATAAGCCCCACCATGAGAAGCACCCCCAGATGTTTCCAGATGTGTCAGAGAATTCCCAGCACTTGCTTGCTGCCCACTTGACTGTGAGCTACCTGGAGACAGCACCATGCTATATTCTTTTTTATTTTTAGTGCCTAGCATGCAGCATCTGACACATAGTAGGTGCTCAGTAAATATTGTTTTAATTAATACATTAGTAAATGAGTGCTTTTAATGTTTTCCAGAAATTTATATTTTTGTTCCAATAGGGTTTTTGTTTGCATGTTTATTTTCTGTCCAGGAAAAAGGGCGGAGATAGAATCAAAAACAAGATACCCCCTGGAAGGAAGGGCAAATAGATAGAAACTTGGCATTACCTAGATCTCTTTTCCCTTGGGGGGAAATAATTATGTCCTTAAATTTCTGCACTAAGTCACCAAGGAGGGCTTGAAATTAAAAACCTTGGAGAGTAATTAGCAACAAAACGTTCTGATGTCAAAAAGCACATTTTATAGGACCACATTTGTAATATTAATTGGGCCTCTGCATAGCCAAATGGTGAAATTATTGCTACAATACAAACAGGCCCAAAAGAGAAAAACAGCCCAAAATAGCACAGATATTCCAAATCAGGACAGAGGTAATTTCTCTATACATAAAAAACCACCAATTGAATGCCTTCACCAACTCACTTGAGTTAAATGAGTTAAAAAACAAAAGCCTGTTGAGTAGTGTAGCACCACCTACCCCATCTCTGAAATGCTATGGGACTGGGGCTAGGAAAAGAACCGAGACTTTATCCCCACCAGCTTTTCATACTTTTTATCTTGAAGTGTAAAAAGTTTGAATCATTTATTTACCAAAAATTTATTGAGCACCTATTATGGGCCAGGTCCAGAGCAAAAAAAAAAAAAAAAAAAAAAAACAGCGAGCCACTGCACCCAGCCTCTCTTCATGGAGTTTAGCATCTAGTTGGGAGAAGAGACACTGAACCAATAATCACACAAGCAAATATCTAATGAGAGACACAAGGACAGGTGCAGTGGCTCACGCCTGTAAATCCCAGCACTTTGGGAGGCTGAGGCGGGCAGATCATTTGAGGCCAAGAGGTCGAGACCAGCCTGGCCAACATGGCGAAACCCTGTCTCTACTAAAAATACAAAAATTAGCCAGGTGTGGTGGTGGGTGCCTGTAGTCCCAGCTACTCGGTAGACTGAAGCAGTAGAATCACTTGAACCCGGGAGACAGAGGCAGAGGTTGCAGTGAGCAAAGACTGCACCACCACTGCACTCCAGCGTGAGTGACAGAGCAAAACACCATCAAAAAAAAAAAAAAAAAAAAAAAAAAACGAAGAGAGATACAAGTACTAGGAAAGAAGAGAAAGAGAAAGGGTACATGTACAGAGGGAGCCTCAGCCAGGGATTCTGACCTAGTTTGCAAATAGGGAAGACTTCCTGGAGGAAATGATATTTAAACTGGAGGCTGACAATACATACAAATTAGCCAAGTAAAGAAGAGAAAAGTGTTCTAGACAGAGCAAGCAGCATTTGGGAAAGGTGAATCTGGTGAAGAAGGAGCTTAACGTATCCAAGGAATGGAAAGGCCAGTGTGACCAGGACATGATGTGTGAGCGAGCAAGTGGGGAGTGGGGAGAAATGTGCGGACTAGAGTGGAAGATAGGGGCAGCCGCTGGGGCCTTGCCACGTCCCATGACATTAGGGAACCAGCCATTGACAGACCTTGGGTCAGAAGCAGAGATAAGAGACATGAATAAGAACATGATCTCCCCTCAAGGAGATCCTGGGCTTGTTGAGGGAACAGCCTAGGAAAAGGCCTATCCTCTTGAGTCCTGGGCTCAGAGGCACCACTGCACATTCCCCAATTCTCTGAGCACCAACAAAGTCTGTGCAGAAGCATCTAGGACCACTGCTCACACAGGACCACTCCAGGCTTCTTTCTCCTCCTTGAGCCAATCTTTCCTTTGTTCTCAAGATGGCACATCTGTGCCAGGCTCCAGCGCTCATCTCCCGGGTTTGGAGGGGAAGCACAGCTTACCTCCCTACACAGCCCACTCTCCAGGTTCTGTGACCCACTGCTTTAGCTGTGGTCTCAACACCTTGCTTGTCCCTCACACCCCTGCCCATGCTAAGGGTCCAGGGAAAGAATGTTGCCAGGGGCACCAACAAGCAATTGGCCCTGAATCTGATCAAGGATTACTGCTAATCTCTTCCTTGAGGAACATTTAATACAGGATGCCAAAAAAGAGAAATCTTTAGAGAATTCTCTCACAAGATCACACCTTAGGACTTGTACTCGGAACATGCAGGGCCCTGACCCAGGGAGCAGCAGGAATAGTACTCACTCTGTCACCACTGAAGAAGAGCAACTCTAAGAAATGGGGACTATTCTGTTCTCCAATTAGCATTGAGGGTGATGGATCAGAATTTATAATATGCAGTTATGAGTTATGGAACAATCAGAGAAGTGATCCTGATTCAGAAACCTGCCATTCCAGGAGCCATGGCAATTTTTCATGAGAACTCATCATGGGGTGGCCCCTGCCAAAACCTCACTTGCACCCAGCCTGTCCCAGCCCCAGTCTGTCACTCCAGCCCACTGACAGCCTCAGGCTTTTTCAAGTTTCAGGTGACCTAGCAACAGGGAATAGAACTTGAGAGCTCTGGAGTCAGAGCTGGGTTCACATCCAGCTCCAGATAGATACTTCCTAGCTGGGTGACCCCAGGCAAGTAGCTTAATCCCTCTGAACCGAGTTTCTTCCTGTCAGGTGGGAATCAGAATGGCTTCTACATCAGGGATGCTTCTGAGGATAATGCCTGCAAAGTTCTCAACACAGAGCCCGGCACAAGGTAAATGCTCACTAAACTTTGGAACCTTGCTCCCCTCCTACCAGCTCAAATTGCTTCCCAGAAATGCTGGGTCTCCTTGCATTTGTGGAATCTGCTTCTCCTCCAAGCTAGCCTGCGAGAGCTGGTTTGGTCACCCCTGCGCAGCTGGGCTGGCCTCCTGCGTCTGCCTCTTACCAGCCAGCACTTAACTCAGCATGAGCCTCTTCTCTCTATTTAACACCAAAAGAAATTGATTTCCCTAAGCTATTTCCATGATGCAGCACCCCTGAGAACTACATATTGCATCAGTTCTCCTCCATGACCATCAAACCCCCTGCTCACAGCCACTCTCCCTAGAGCCACAGGGTCCTCAGCTGCCAAGGCATAGATCTGTTTCATTTTGCACTTGCTTAAAGGTCAAACATGAATTTCTCCCCATTATTGTACTGTGTCTTGTCACACAGACTGTCTGTTTCATGGATTAGTCATAGTCTTGCTATCAAATTAGATATTCCTCAGTAGTTATTTTTAGATAAATCTTTTTCTAATTCTACACGGTGCAATGATGTGTGTGCACCCACAGCTCTGGAATCCAGGCATTACCAGGTGGGTTCCAAATTGTATGAGAGTTCACATTCCTCCAGAAAGCAACAGCCAGTGGAGCAGTGGAGTTTGTAACCTAGCTCTGTCCATGGACTCTTCTGTCCAGCCCAAAATAATTAATCCCCATGTCTTGGATAATCCAATCACTTATCATCAGTCCAGTAAAAGCCCAAAGGAGGCTTGTGACACAATTGTGAGTTAAGCAAAACATGTCTATGCCATCCCAACCTCTTGTTTGACTCTCTCCTTGATCTTAGTACAGAGGCACCAAAGGCAATTGTGCCTTCATGCCCTGCACCCCCATGGAAGACTGCCCTCGGGAAAGGCCCTGCCACCCTCCTGACTGAGACCTGAGTGAATATTACTGGTTATATCCCTGCTTGCTCCCATGGTTCTGCCTGCACACTCAGACCAGCGTCCATAGGGAAATGAGGTCCTCAGAACAGAATTTTAGACTTAACTGGGGTGAGTGTGCATGGAGAAGGAAGGGCTTGCTAAGAGGGAGTCCTCTTCACCTACTCCAAGGCACTTTGAAGATAAGAAGCTGCACATACCTTGGGCTTTAAGGACCTCATATAGTTGGTCCAGCATAGTTGAAGCAACAAAACCCATAGTAACTCTATTTTTTTTTTTTTTTTTTTGAGACGGAGTTTAGCTCTGTCACCCAGGCTGGAGCGCAGTGGCACGATCTCAGCTTACTGTAAGTCCCGCCTCCCAGGTTCACACCATTCTCCTGTCTCAGCCTCCCAAGTGGCTGGGACTACAGGCGCCCGCCACCATGCCCAGCTGTTTTTTGTATTTTTTAGTGGAGACGGGGTTTCAGCGTGTTAGCCAGGATGGTCTTGATCTCCTGACCTCATGATCCACCCGCCTCGGCCTCCTAAAGTGCTGGGATTAGAGGCATGAGCCACCGTGCCCGGCCAACCCATAGTAACTCTGTTAATTCAAGACAGTATTTAGCATTTGCTCCTGGGGTATGAACTGTGAGGAGGGGGGCAGATTTCCCATTCCGATGCTTTCTTCTATGTGTCGGTCTCCACTGGCCGGGATGTGTGGGGCCTCACTTACCCAAAACAAGTGAGACTAGGGGAAGGGGGAAAGTCAGCCCAGCACAGACCCATGTGACTTCACACTAAGCCACTTCCTCCTTTAAGCCTTCTTCAATAAAGAAGATAATGCTTTGGCCTCCATCTGAGTTTTTATCTCTCCATTGTTCAGAACTTGGATGAGGGAAAGAGGACTACTTATTGGTGACCCTGTCAGAGAGCCCCTATAGACTATAAATGCTTCAGCTGTTCAGAGGCAGGGGAGGCTGAGTGGATTGGAAAAATCTGGGAAGGCTCGGCTGAGGAGGCAAGGTCTCAGAGGATGAGTTTAAGTGGATATGACTCTCGGGGGTGGTATCATGAACCAAAGCACAGAGGCAGGAAGAGCAAGATGAGTGGGATGCAATGACGAGGCCAGTGTGACCAGAGCCCAAGACTTCCTTGGGGGTGGGGGCAGGGTGGCAGGTGGGTGGAGGCAGACTATGAAGAATTCTGAGTAGTCAGTAGAGACTAAACTAGTCAGTGGGTCAAAGTATATTTTCTGAAGGCTCTTCAGGGTCCAGGGGAAGTGGCTGGGGATAGTCAATGTTGGCTTAGAGGAGTCTGTGGGGCAGGCCAGGAGGCTGCTATGAGGCATTTAGAAGGAAGAGTGCAACCATGAAGACCGGCTGAAGGCGTGGAGACAATGTAGGAGGACACAGAGATTTGACCTTGCATCATTCTAGCTGGTGAGAACAGCCCTAGCAGGGCTGATGAGCCATTCAGAGAGCCCACGGGGAAAGGTACAAATTTGGGTCACCTGATGGAAACTGCTTCCTCCCGTGAGGAGAAATAGAATAGTAAATGAAAAGATAGGAAAATGAACATCTTCTTTAACTACCAAAGAAAGACAAATTGAAGCCACAAGAAGACCCCTTCTCTTTTCTTTTCTTTTCTTTTCTTTTTTTTTAAGATGGAGTCTCGCTCTGTCACCAGGCTGGAGTGTAGTGGCACAATCTCAGCTCATTGCAACCTCTGCCTCCCGGGTTCACGCAATTTTCCTGCCACAGCCTCCCAAGTAGCTGGGATTACAGGGACACACCACCAAACCTGGCTAATTTTTTGTATTTTTAGTAGAGACAGGCCTTCACTATGTTGGCCAGACTGGTCCCAAACCTGACCTCATGATCCACCTGCCTCTGCCTCCCAAAGTGCTGGGATTACAGGCTTGAGCCACCACGCCAGGCCAAGAAGACCCCTTCTTTGGCCTATCATATAAAAAATTTTTCTTTTTTTTTTTTTTAGACAGAGTCTCACTCTGTCACCCTGTCACCCAGGCTGGAGTGCAGTGGCGCAATCTCAGCTCACTGCAAGCTCCGCCTCCTGGGTTCATGCCATTCTCCTGCCTCAGCCTCCCAAGAAGCTGGGACTACAGGCGCCTGCCACCATGCCCGGCTAATTTTTTGTATTTTTTTTTAGTAGAGATAGAGTTTCACCGTGTTGGTGCTCACTGCAAGCTCCGCCTCCTGGGTTCATGCCATTCTCCTGCCTCAGCCTCCCAAGTAGCTCTACAGGCGCCTGCCACCACACCCGGCTAATTTTTTGTATTTTTTTTTTTTTAGTAGAGACGAAGTTTCATCATGTTAGCCAGGTTGGTCTCGATCTCCTGAACTCGTGATCCACCTGCCTCTGCCTCCCAAAGTGCTAGGATTACAGGCGTGAGCCACCACACCTGGCCTTTTTTTTTTTTTTTTTTTTTTTGAGATGGAGTCTCACTCTGTCGCCCAGGATGGATGCAGTGGTGCGATGTCAGCTCACTGCAGTGTCTGCCTCCCAGGTTCAGGCAATTCTCTGCCTCAGCCTCCTGAGCACCTGGGATTACAGGCACGTGCCACCACACCTGGCTAATTTTTCTATTTACTTAGTAGAGACAGGGCTTCACCATGTTGGCCAGGCTGGTCTCGAACTCCTCACCTCAAGTGATTCACCCGCCTCGGCCTCCCAAAGTGCTGGGATTATAGGCGTGAGCCACCGTGCCTGGCCCAAATAAAAAAATTTTAATGGGCCGGGCACGATGGCTCAAGCCCGTAATCACAGCACTTTGGGAGACCAAGGTGGGCAGATCACGAGGTCAGGAGATCAAGACCATCCTTGCTAACACGGTGAAACCCAGTCTCTACTAAAAATACAAAAAGTTAGTCGGGCGTGGTGGCGGGCGCCTGTAGTCCCAGCTACTCAGAAGGCTGAAGCAGGAGAATGGCATGAATCCAGGAGGCGGAGCTTGCAGTGAGCCAAGATTGCGCCACTGCATTCCAGCCTGGGCGACAGAGCGAGACTCTATCTCAAAAAAAAAAAAAAAAATTAATGACTGTGTGCAAGCAGTTAGTGTAATAGTAGGCTACTTATTTGAAGTAGGGTGGGTCCAGGTGACCCTCCCACCAGCACTGTGGCAAGTGGGTATCAAGAACTTCCCCCAAAAAATGTTAGTTCTGTGAAAATGGATTGAGATAAGTTTCATTTCTATAGATATCCAATGTAACATTGTCTATAAATATTGGAAATAATCCAAATGACTACCAGTAGGGGATGAAGTTATTGAACATGGGACATTACCCCATGCAATTGTATGCAACCAATAACAACCATGAAATCAATCTATCAACAAAAAGAATGTCTAGTGTGTCACATTCAGCAAAAAACAATCAGGCCCAAAACTCTGTTCACAGTGTGGTTATAATTATGCAAGAACAATCACGTGCAGATACAAACCAGAGTAAAATATACCAAGAAGAGACCCTTTCCTCCTTTCTGCAATTTCCCAATGATTATGTGTTGCTTCTCTGACACATTTACCTGTGTACAGCCGTATCACTTTCTCAGAGAATAATACACAGAGACGGGACATGGAGCTGGGCAGCACTGGCAACCCTGTACTCTGGAGCCCACCCTCTTTGGAGCTCATCCTTCCTGCTAATGAGCAGGGAGTAGTTTTCAAAGCTAGGCTCTTGTGATAGAGAGCTGTGACAGGACTGAACATGGATTCTTGTACCTGATTCATCCTTCCTAGCCTAGCTCATCTACTCATCCACTCTGGCCAACCCAGGCCCTGACTTCCAGAACATAGGACCCATTTTTATCTTTCTCTATGGCCCCTGAGGGCTCTGGTCAGCCAGAGGAGAAGCCCAGAGCTCAAGGCTCCTCGTGGGGTGCCTGGAAAAAGGCTGCCACTCCCCTTCACTGCACTCACTGTCTCTACCTCCATATCTACAGCTCCCATTTCTCCCCATTTGGGCTTCCAGCCCTGTTGTTCCACTGAAACGTCCATGCCAAGGCCACCAAGGATGTCTGTGGTGGCAAATCTGATTATTGCTTCTCTGTCTTCATCCTACTTTTCCTGTGCAACAGCATTCAACACAGTGACCATCCCTTTTTTTTTTTTCTGAGACAGAGTCTCACTCTGTCTCCCAGGCTGGAGTGCAGTGGCACGATCTCAGCTCACTGCAACCTCTGCCTCCCGGGTTCAAGCGATTCTCCTGCCTCGGGACTCCTGATTAGCTGGGACTACAGGCATGTGCCACCACACCTGGCTAATTTTTTGTATTTTTCGTAGAGACGGGGTTTCACCGTGTTAGCCAGGACGGTCTCAATCTCCTGACCTCGTGATCCGCCCACCTCAGCCTCCCAAAGTGCTGGGATTACAGGCCTGAGCCACCCGCCCAGCCGTGACCATCCCTTTCTTATGATACTTGCTTTTAGAAGCTTCCAATAAACTATACCTCTTGTTTTTTCTCTTAGCCGGCTGCTCCCTCTCAGTCTACTTTTCTGGATCCTTCATGTCTCCCCAACCTCTGCCACAGGATTGAGTCCCCTTTTCATCTCTCTGCACATTCTCTCCTCTTGTCTGATCTTGTGGCTTTGGACCCCATATAAATCATGATGTCTCCCAAAGCTGTGCCACAAGATTCATCATTTCAACTGCCTTCGTGACACCTTGAATGTCTAATAGTATCTTGAAATGAGAGTGGCCAATGCTGCAAACCATCCCCTCCACATACAGTCTCCTCATCTTAAGAGACAGCACCTCCATCTCTCTAGCAGCCCAAGGCAACACTCTAGCAGTCACCTTGGTGCCTCTCTCCCTCTTACATGTCCATCTATGACTGAATGGTTTTGACATTTGTCCCTGCCAAATCTCATGTTGAAATGTAATCCCCAACGTTGGAAGTAGGGCCTGGTGGGAGGTGTTTGGATCACGGGGGGCCGATCCCTCATGAATGGCTTAGTGCCATCCCCTTGGTGATAAGTGAGTTTACCTGAGATCTGGTTATTTAAAAGTGTATGAAGGCCAGGCACAGTGGTTCACGCCTGTGATCCCAGCACCTTAGGAGGCCGAGGCAGGCGGATCACTTGAGGTCAGGGGTTCTGGACCAACCTGGCCAACATGGTGAAACCCTGTCTCTACTAAAAATATAAAAATTAGCCAGGTGAGGTGGTGCATGCCTGTAATCCCAGCTACTTTGAGGCTGAGACATGAGAATAGCTTGAACCTGGGAGGCTTGAACCTGGGAGGTTGCAGTGAGTCGAGATGGTGCCATTGCACTACAGCCTAGGCAACAGAGTGAGACTCTATCTCAAAAAACAAACAAACAAACAAACAAACAAAACGGTGTATGACACCTCCCCCTTCTCTGTCTTGTTTCCACTCTTGCCAAGTGACATGCTGGCTCCTTTTGGAAGCTACTTGTTTGAGCATGACAAACCTATGGCACTGTTCTTTTTTTTTTTTTTTTTTTTTTTTTTTTGAGATGGAGTCTCACTCTGTCACCTAGGCTGGAGTGCAGTGTTGCAATCTTGGCTCACTGCAACCTCCGCCTCCTGGGTTCAAGCGATTCTCCTGCCTCAGCCTCCTGAGTAGCTGGGATTACGGGCGCACACCACCACACCCAACTAATTTTTCTATTTTTAGTAGAGACGGGGTTTCACCATTTTGGTCAGGCTGGTCTTGAACTCCTGACCTTGTGATCCTGACCTTGTGATCCACCCACCTCGGCATCCCAAAGTGCTGTGATTACAGGTGTGAGCCACCGCGCCTGGCCCTGGCGCTGTTCTTAGAGTCCATCACAGACCTGAACTGCTGAATGCTATTCCTCATGGAAACTGAGGCATGGACATTTCGGCAGCTCCCCCTTGGATGTGGCCTGGAGGAGTTGGAGAAATCAGGCCTGGGAGCATACAGCATGTATTTGATCTGATTCATTCATCAGGTTCAAGTTAGGCCTTGACTTCTGGGCTTACAAAACTGGCCCTGGGGAGCATGAGGCGTGCGGATATGTGCTCAGTAAGATGGACCAGGACTGCCAGGGTACGAGGCTGGAACAGGGGGCTAAAAACACGCCTTCCTTGGGCCTGGAACCAGGTAGTGCCCTCAGAGTTTATCTTTTGCTTAGGAAACGTTCTCGTTCCTGTTGGGCTGTCCCCCAGCACCCAAGGCCTGAGGCATAACCCAAGTTCGTGAGCATAGGTGTGGCCTTTGGAAAAGAGCACTATGTCTCCAGCTCTCTCCACCTACTCTCTTCTTCCTCCAGGCTGGCCACTGGCCTCCCAATACTGGCTCCCTGGACCCCAGGCTTTTGACTATTGTCTATATAAACTCTTCTAGGTAAACAGCAGACTACCCTTAATGTCTGCAGGGCAGGAATAGTACAGCAGAGACCTCCGCATGGCATAGGAGCCCCTGGATGAATATAATTGCTCTGGCCCTCTCTGTCAGATCAGATGCTACCCGCCCTCCAGCCCCTTTCATCTCTCCATTCTGTAGAGCTGGTCCAGGGCCCCCCAACTCCCTCTAACCTGAAGTAATTCTACTCTTGGAGCACCAGACTCTGTAATTATGGTATTTTCTCATGTATTCTCACGTCAAATCCTCCCAATAATCCTGTGAGCATAATTTTGGCCATTTTACAGTCAAGGGAACTGAGATTGCAAAGAACAGAAGAGACTTGTCCAAGATCAGCCGTAGCAGCCAGCCCCAGAGTTCCGAGGACTTCCTGACACCAAAACCCCTTCTCTATATCCAGGGAAAGCAGCAACCACAATCTTTTTTTTTTTTTTTTTTTTTTTTTGAGATGGAGTCTCACTCTGTCGCCCAGGCTGGAGTGCAGTAGCGCGATCTTGGCTCCCTGTAACCTCTACCTCCCAAGTTCACACCATTCTCCTGCCTCAGCCTCCTGAGTAGCTGGGACTACAGGCACCCGCCACCATGCCTGGCTAATTTTTTTGTATTTTTAATAGAGACAGGGTTTCACCATGTTAGCCAGGATGGTCTCAATCTCCTGACCTCGTGATCCGCCTGCCTTGGCCTCCCAAAGTGCTGGGATTACAGGCGTGAGCTACCGCGCCTGGCCAGCGACCACAATCTTTAAGAGGCTGACCTTCAAACTTTTGCAGAACCTGGAGTGAGCATTACCAAACCTAAGACTGTGACACTCCATAGTGACAAGTCTGGAAGCTGTGGAAGATACTTTGGGGAAGAGGAAAGTGGGAGAGGCTTTCCCCTATCCCCTGCCCACTTCCAGGATATAGCCTATGTTTTTGTGCTCTTTTCTAAATGCAGAGAAAACCCTGAGGGCTTCTTGAATGGTGTGAGAAGTGATGGTGGTTCTTGATGCTGGCAACCACCAGCCAGAAAGAGACCACTAGAGGTGGCCACCTGGGGCCAACCTCCCCAGACCCAGTTGTGGAGCAGTATCACTCAAGGAGCCTGCAGTAAATGCATGCACCATCCACGCTCAGGCAGGTTTTCAAGGTGGAGGCCCCAGGGAGGTTCTGATGGGGCCCAGAGCCGGGGTAACCCCAGAGTCCAGGGACCAGCAGGGACTGTGGAGTCTGAGAAGACTTGGCTCATCAGGAGGTGTTAGGTATAAAATGGGTGCGAATGGCACCTGCCTGTGACTGCTGCAAGGGTTACATGAGCTGAGGGGTTCAGGATCCATCTGTCAATAATGCAAGTTTTCCTTTTTCCTTCCATTGGACAGGAGGTCCCAGGCAGTGAGGAACCTCAGGTCTGGCAACATGAGAACTGCTCGGCTCACCTGGAAAACACAACTGGTGCTGGCTTAAGAATGCCCCAGGGAGAGCTTGTCAAGGAAGACTCTAACCAAGGGTGGGCATGAGCCAGGGGTTGATGGTGATTCGCATGGGAATCATCCTGGGCTGTCTCTGAGCATCCAGCCACAGTCCCAGTCACCCTTGGAGAGGAACGTCTGCCCTGAGGCCGTGCTACTTGAATCTGGGAGAAATTGTGAGGAGAGTTCCTCCACTCTGGCTTCATCATTGCCAATTCCCAGGCGAAGCTGCCCCAAACCACTCGCTTGTCACTTCTCTTCAGTCCAAGGGTCCCTAATGGCTCCCTGTTGCCTCCAGAGTGGTGTCCATACTCAGCCTGGCATTTCTTTTTCCACCCCAGGCTGGGCACTTAAAGCTTAAGAGAGGCCCGCCCTTTCCTATCCACACTCCCCACACCCAAATCAGCAAGACCATTCCCAGAGCCATGCTGTGCCCTCTCTGCTTTGACCTTCCATCTTCCTTCCAAACCCACCTCAAGTTCCAAAGCCAAGCAAAACTACTACTCTCCTCTCGTGATCTCCATAGCCCTGATTCTCTGAAAGACATCGTTATGCTGAAGAGCCTATAGGCAGTGGCTATATTTCCAGCTGGAGAGTAGGGACTTCAACTCAGCCAGGCTATGGCTTCCAACATCTCCTCAGCCCCACTCCATTCACAGGATGCAGCCAGGAAATCCCTGTGTGTGTCCAGCCTTTGGGCAGTTGTCCTGAGAGTGGTAGGGAGGGGGACGTCAGCAGCCAGCCCAGAAGCCAGGGCTCTCAGGCTTGAAGGGCCTCTGGCTTCCAGCAGAACATGCATGGGATGGGGTCTGAAAAACCCTCTTCAGGCCTCCAGGCTCTCTAGGCCCCAGTAATTCAGCACCAGTCTCCCTGCACATCTGCCCTTCTCTCCGTGCTATGGGCAGAGCCCTTTACACTGATGCCAGTGCCAAATACTGATGGTCTTTTCACTCAAAGCCTTCTGAAAGGAGGCCTAAGGAAGCCTAATTAAGAGCCATGGATGCCACAAAACCGGTCATCGATAAAGTCCCCTTCAGGAATAAGCAAAAATGGAAAACAGCTCTGCAGGAAAAGGTGAGAGCCAGAAAGACCTGAGAGGGAACTCTAAGGCCAGGGAAGGCAAGGTGGCCCAGCCAGGGGACAGGGGGTGCACATGTTGGGCGAGACAGTCGAAGCTGGGTAGCTGGCTTCTGAGCCTCAGTTTTCTCATTTATAAAATGAGAATCAAATGGTACTTTCCAGCTCTGACCGTCTTAGAGTCTATTTAGAACTGCCTGTCCATTCCAGCTCTCAAGCTGTTTCTGAACCATGCCTGTGTCAACTTTCATTTTTCCTGGATCCACTTCCATCCTTGGAAGACTGGGTTTGGCCAGTCCAAGAGGACAAACATGGAGGCAAGAAAGTGCAGAGGCCCAAGAGGTACCATCTTTTTCTAAGGGTGATCATACTCTAAGGAGGAATCATCGGAAGTCCTGAAGCTAGAGCCACAAGCTCTTCTAAGTCCCTCCAGTCCTGATGCCATCTTCCTCTGCCCCTACATTTCAGACCATCTCCAGGGAGCCTTCTTTTGTTCATAGGTCCAGCTACTAACCTTCTGGGCAACCTTGGACAATTCAGCTGACCTCTGACTATCTTCCCTCCAGAGCGTGGAAACTGGCCGCCTGCTCCTTCCCTAAACCCCCTTTCACACATGCACGGCATCCTAACCTCCTCCAGGCAGCCCTCCCAGCTTCAGGTGGGAAGTATTTATTCCATGGAACTAACTCTCTCAGGAAACCCACCTGACTTCCAGAGCAACAGAAGGAAGAAAACCTTCTCAGGGCAGGCTGGGAAAGGTGGCCATAGGAGGAGGATGGCTGTCCCAGGAAGAACACCTTGGGATCCCCTCATCCCTTGGCAGTGCTCCTAGCCAGGCCCCTAGCCTGCACTCACTCACGGGCTAGAGGGAGGAGGGGCTTGTCTCTTGCTGGCTGAGATTAGAGTATATGACTATTGCTGAAAATCTCTGCTCACCCCTACTCCAGGATCTCCCTCCCAAGCATTCATATAACTGTGATAAGATCAAGCCTAGTTACAGGAGCTCAGTAACAGGAATCGACCCTCTCGCTTCCAGGCCCAAAGGGCAGAGCCCTATCTCCATGTAATCTATCTCCAGAGGTGAGTTGTATCTTACGGCATCTTGGTGTGAAAACAGGCACAGCCACTGGCTTTGCTGATGTTAACAGCCCCAATGAGCTTTGCATCCACCGTTTTGTGGGTTTAATTTATTGCCAGCAATTAGATATCAAAGCCATCTTAGGAGCTGGTGTTCCATCTGTAAAGTAAAGGGCCAGGTGGGGGCTGATTCACATCTGGCCAACCCATCCTGAGCCCTGGACTCATTCTGTCCTGGGTGGTCAGTGGCAGAACCTAGAGAAAGGTGTCTTCAAAAATCTTGACTTCCTTGGGTCACATAAGTGTGCCCATATGCTCACTTCTGTCCTGGGGAGGCTGAACAAGACCAGCACTCTCTATATTGTGTTCTTTTCTGCTCCTCAGATTCTCAAAGGCTGTTTCCACTATAAGGCCTTTGCGTTTGCTATTCTCTTTCCTGGGATGCCCTTCTTCTCTTTTCTTTTTTTTTTTTCCTTTTTTTCTTTTCTTTTTTTGAGACAGAGTCTCGCTGTTTCATCCAGGCTGGAGTGCAGTGGTGTGATCTCGGCTCACTGCAACCTCGCCTCCCAGGTTCAAGCAATTCTCCTGCCTCAGCTTCCCAAGTAGCTGGGATTACAGGCGCATGCCACCACACCCGGCTAATTTTTGTATTTTTAGTAGAGACAGGGTTTCACCATGTTGGCCAGGCTGGTCTTGAACTCCTGACCTCAGGTAATCCGCCCACCTCGGCCTCCCAAAGTGCTGGGATTACAGGCAAGAGACACCATGCCCAGCCTCTCTTTTCTTATAATCAACTTCTTGTCATTCATCCTTGGCTGAGTGTCCCCTTCTCAGAGATACTCCCCACCCCCCAACCCTTCTGTCCCTGTCTGTCACTCCACTGTTTGGCTGTAGGTTCCATCATTGTAGAAGGAGTCCTGTCTGCTTAACTTGGCTCAGCCAACAGCACAGAGACACCTGCCCACAGGAGGCACACTGGGCCAGTCCATCCCCTCACCAGCTGGTACAAAGGGAGCCACAGTCTCTGGCTCCCTTCCTGATCCTGTAAGGAGGGGTTCTCTGGACCTGCCTAATGGCACTGGGCAGAGCCTCCCCTGCTTCACCTGTCTTTCATAGCAGCCCTGGCGAGTCCCACTGCACAGCCTACTAGGGCCTGGCCTGGCAGGAACCTTCAGAGAGAGAGAGAGAGGCCTCAAGGGCAGGTGGGTGGCTCAGTTAGACAGGAGCTCTGACTGCAGCTTCTCCCAGGAAGTCAGCCTCCTTTCTAAAGGCTTTAACCTGTGACTCAATACTTCCTTAAACACCATCATGCCCCACACGGTCTCATATGTGACGTGAATTTTTTCAGGACCTATGACATGCTGGGAGCTCAGCAAACTGTCATGCCTTACCTCTCCCAGTCTCACAGTCTGGGGGGCAGGCATTGCTATCCATATGTTCTAATGAGGAAATGGGCTCAGAGAGATTAAGAGAGTTGTCCAAGGTCACAGAGTGGAGTCAGAAGGGGATCCCAAGCTGTGTGACTCAGACCCAACATCTGTCTCCTCTGCAGGGAAGCACTCTGACTTTAAAGCATCCTGAGAGGTGCCAGGCACTCCTTGCCCAAGTTCAGGGACCAGAGGCCATAGAAGGTCACACCCAAGAATCCTTCCTCTGGCATCCAGGGGCATAGAAGATCAGGGCAGAGGAGGAATGGGTTTATGACATCTCCTCCAGCTAGACCAGATCAGGGAAGGGGTCAGATGACACTGGAACTCTTTGGGCAGGGATAGCCTTCCCATTAGGAAGGGGATTGTGAGGCTCCATGCCCCTAGCTTCAGACCCTGGTCCTGCCACACACCACTCATAGGAACCTGGGAAGTTTCTTCTGCTACTATTCAAGTTTCAGTGACTTCATCTGCAAAGTGGGCATAATCTCTGCCTGGGAGGGCTACTGGAAGAACAGAAAAGTAAACAAAGTCAAGTACGAGATATGTCTGGCACACGCTAGGTGCTAAAACATGAGCTCCAAGGCATGGCTCAAACAGGCCAGGCCCACAGCTAAGAGCCCAGCCCCTCAGCCCCTGGGCCTTTTCAGTGGGCCCTGAGACCCTCCATCCAGCCCTAGTAGCTCATGTGGGGGAAACATGACCCATGAGTCAAGGTCCCATCACCTGGAAGGGAGACTGGTTGGGGGAGAGTCCCTGCACTAGGGGTGCTGCTTCAAGAGGTGGCTGAGGGGCCTGCCTCATTCCCACACAGAGCATCTCTGCCAGGTCTGAGGGTTGATTACTCCGTGGCTTGCTGTGAACACAGATCAAGATCAGGAATGGGAATGGGGGTGTCATCTGCTTTATCTACACAGCCTCTACACTGGGGCAGGGTTTATAGGCTAAGGCAGGCTTCCCAGTGCCTCCCCTGCTGCCACCACCCACTCTTTGCCCCAACTGTCTCTGTCCAGAGTGAACTCTCCAGAAAGGGGAAAGCAAGCCTGCCTAAGACACCCACGACCACCCAGTCATCTCTGCTCCCTTTGTCAGCACCAGTGACGCCCCACCAGACAATGCCAGCAGGTGCCTGTGCCCATGAAGTATGGACTCTCTGAGGGCAGGAACCATAGGAGAAAGGACAATCTTGTAGCCATTTTGCCATGTCAGAGCCCTGCCTCCTGTCCTCACCAGCCATGAACCTTGGGAAGCCACTTAGTTACTCCGAGTCTTGGTTTCCCATCTGTAAAATGGAGATCTTAATGCCTGCCTTGCAAAATTTGAGATCAGTTTTGTTAATGTCTAGCTCAGTGCTCCATAAACTTTTTTAATGCATGTAAACTTGTTCAAATTAAATCTCAGCACACCAATCTATAAAATAGCTGTGTTGGAAGCAAAAGTGGAGGGTCCTAGGACTCCTTCACCAAATCCTGGGGGGTTCAGGGAGTCCAATGTGAAAAGATCTGGCCCCAACTCTAACAGCCAACTCTGAAATCAACCAGAAATGCTGGAGCAGTAAGAGGGGATGGATAGATTGTCTGACACATTGGTTGAGTGTATCTCCAGAGGAGCCAGAGGTGCACATGTGGAGGGGGAATGCACTACCCATGGGAGAACCCTGGGGGCTCTAAGAGAGAGGAGCTATTACCAGGGGCCCATTGTCTCATCCCTGAGCACCCCATTCTGACTTCCTACAGGAGATGGGACAAGGAAATGAGAGACCCCTGTGCCATGGCTGCCTCTCACCCAGTAAATAGACTTGTTTTCCATTCTTCACACAAAATGCCTTGCCTCCCCGTGTACCTGCCAGCTAAGTCCCTAAATGTTTGTCTATCCAAATCTGGCTTTCCCTTTGAGTTCATATTGTCACCACCTTTTGGAAGTCTTCTGTGATTGCCCCTAGCCAAAAACAGCATTTCCTTCCTTTGACCTCCTCTAGCACAGAGAGCAGCGGCTAAGAGCTTGGGACTCAGTTTCTCTACCTGTAAGATGAGAAAGTGAGGACTAAGTGAGATGATCCATGTAAAGCTTTAGCACAGTCCTGGCACACAGTAGGCACTCAATAAGTGTCAGCTATTCATTATGGTGCTGTGGTCTCTCCCCTGCCCCACAGCTCCTTCAGGCTATGGCACACAGTAGGTGCCCACTGAATACTCACCCAGGTGACCAGCAGGTGGCCCCACACCCCAATTAACCTCTCTGCCAGCTCCTCTGAGCCCCAGGGAACTTGTTCCCTTGAGTCAACAGCTGCCTTCTCCTGGTCAGGGGACACAGAGAGGGTAGAACTGGCAGAGTGCTGGGCAGCTTAGTGCATCACCTAGCAGACGCTTGGGCTATGCTGGTGACCAAGGCCTTTGGGCTCGGCCATCCCTGTCCCTGTCTTCATTGCAGCCCTGCCCCATCCTTGTGAGGATCATGCTAACAGATAAGAAAACTGAGGCTTGGAAAAATGCATGATCTGCCTGAACATAGAGCATTCCTCACAATCCATCAACTGGTGGTGATGTGTCTGTCAAGGGTGCTGGAATAGTCTGGTCCTGTTAATTCAGCCTCTCATTTTACTGATGGGCAACCTCAAAAATAAGAACTGCTTTGCTCAAGGCCTCATGTAAACCAAAGCTCAGGTCTCCTGGCTCTAGACAACCCCACTCCATCCCACACACAGCAGGGGAGGTGGGCTTGCCAGACCCTTCCCTGCCTGCTGGTTAAGCATGCTGGCTGCTCAGTATGACAAAACGAAGAATTTTACCCTGCTGGGTTTATGGGCAGCCGTGAGGACCCACTAGGGATGCAAAGGCTCGGCCCAAAGCAGCCAGGCCCAAGGCAGCCAGGTCTGGTGACAGCCACACACGGCCTGCCCTCCCCCCTCCCCATGCCTGCCATAAAGAAAGTTTCAAGCAGGCTTGGAAGCATGGAGACCCCTGCAGAGGCTGTAGCAGGCTGCATTTTGAGGCTCAATTCTGACACTGCAGTGGAGGGGCTGAATTGAGGGCAGAGAGGGGCTGGTGTAGAATAGCAATGAGCCAGGCTATTGGAAGCCAGCCAGCATCAGGTTTGGAGGACAGAATCAGGGCTGTTGGCCAGGTCAGGGGGAACATCACTAGGAAGAGATGTCACACACACACACGCATGTGCACACGTGTGTATATAACTTTTATGGAATTTTTTTTTTTAAGAGACAGAGTCTCGCTCTGTTGCCCAGGCTGGAATGCAGTGGCACAATCATGGCTCACTGTAACTTCAAGCTCCTGGGCTCAACCTGCCTCAGCCTCCCAAGTAGCTTCTTACGGAATTCCTTACCAAAAGCTGCCAGGGAAGTTATCATAGAGCTCATGCAAATGCCTGTGCGTCTGGACTCGCTGATGAGAACAAGTGGCCACTTGGCTTCTTAGCTCACCTAATACTAGCTGATTGTCAGAGATTTGCTCCCATTTCACGGACAGCCACACTGAGGCCCAAAAAGGAATGTGACTTGGCCAGGCATCCAGCCTCCCAGTCCTGGCTTGTAAGAGCGACACCCGATGCTGGAGATCACGGAGCCAGGCCCTGGGCTGGGCTAGCGGCTGGCCCAGACTCCTCATGGGCTCTTGGAAGTAGCCAGATGTGGGAGATAATGGGGCAATCTTTCCATCTGCTCTTCTGCTAACTGCTTCTAGGGCACCCCTCCCCACCTAGTTACAGGAGGGGCCCTACCCTCTCCCCAACAACAGCAAGGGGCCAAATGTGACCAACAAGAACCCTCCCCTGAAACTGACATGTGGACACCTGAGCAGATGACCTCCCCAGCTAGAACTTCTGCAGCTCTAGTTTTGCCAGAGCTATGGAGAAGGCAAAAAAAAAAACCCAGTGCAGGCAAAGGATCAAGGACAGCCCCAGGAAGAAGCACAGACTGGCAGAGCAGAGTGGCAGACGGGAGTCCTAGAGCAGGGAGACCCTCTGTCCCTGAGGCCCTGGTCCCTGCACTTCTGCCTGCAACCCTGTATCCTATCAGGCACCTTTCCCAGCACTGGGATGCATATATTCTCTCTTTGGCTCAAACTGTCCCATGACACCTCCTTCTCCTGGAACCATGTTCTTCCATCACAGATCATATCAAGACCTTGATTAAACTTTTTTTTTTTTTTTGAGATGGACTTTTGCTCTGTCGCCAGGCTGGAGTGCAGTGGCGTAATCTCGGCTCACTGCAACCTCCGCCTCCCAGGTTCAAGTGATTCTCATGCCTCAGCCTCGCGAGTAGCTGGGATTACAGGCACCTGCCACAACGCCCAGCTAACTTTTTATATTTTAGTGGAGATGGGGTTTCACCATGTTGGCCAGGATGGTCTTGATCTCCTGACTCTGTGATCTGCCCGCCTCGGCCTCCCAAAGTGCTGGGATTACAGGCGTGAGTCACCACGCCCGGCCAATTTAACATTTTTCAACATGTGATGTTTTCACCTTCTCCCGCATGAATGTAAACACCTTGAGGTGAACTCCCTGTCTGAAGTTCTCACTGCAGCCTTCCTTGCACCCAGCACAGCATCTCAGGTACACTGGATGCTTGGCAGCCAAGCAAGGAAGGCCATCTGTGCCTCCACAGCTTTGAGACTAGATGGACTACATCTACCTTTGCATCTGGCCAGCATTCCTCCAAATGTAGGGTATACTAGGAAGGCTGGGCTGAACCACAGGCTCCATGGAGTCTCTTGAATTTATCTGGCTACCCTCCTGGAAGCCCAGTACTGGAAACAAAGCCCAGGAGGCCCACATGATGCTGCTCTGGGGAGCAGGCCCTTGGAAATGAAACCCCATGGGTGAGGAAGCCCTGATTGTCTGGATAGAAAGTTCCTGAGGTAGATTTGGGGTTGCTTTTTCTTCTAGAGACTTCTAGATACTCTAGATATTCTCTCCTTCCTGAGGCAGACTTGGGGCTGCTTTTTCTTCTAGAGACTTCTAGATACTCTAGATATAACTCTAGATACTTCTCTCCTTCCTGATGACTAAGGATGTTAGAGTAGCTAATGAGTGTGGGGCATGAGCCACGCACCTGGCACCTCACTAAGTACTTCACACACATCATCTGCTCAAATCCCCCACATGACTCCATGAGATGGGCATTATCATCGCCAGGACACAGCTGAGGAAACTGAGGCCAAGAAAGCTCCCAAGGTCACCAGGCTGGGAAGCAGCAGAACATCTCAGGCGTGTTTGCCTGTCCCCTGCCTTCCAGCATCTCTGCACCCTCCCCCACGCCCTGAAGGAAGTGGGGGTGGAGGAGAGAGCGCTGCAGGCAGCAGATGAGCTCTTGGAAAACTGGGAGGTTTCTCAAGATAGGAGCTGGGAGAGAAATGCCACAGTTAGGGCCCTCCTTGAAGCTACCCACAAGGGCTCCGGAGGGGTGAGAGTGCTCTCTTACTGGAGTAGTCAAAAGACAGTCTTGCAGCATGCCGCCCCCTCCCCTCCTCGATATTCTCACTGCCAAATGAAATCTGGCAGTTTCTGAAAATAGCTCAGCGCTGCAGCAGGCACTCTGCCCGCCCTTCAGCAGGCTGGCACACAGCTGGGGGTGGCCACTCTGGGCAGATGCTGGCACACACAGGACCGGGGGTAGGTGTCACACACACTGCACAGGGGCAGCACAGAGCTGGGGGCATGTGGCAGCTGCCATCCCTCAGCTCTTCTGACCTTTCTAGGCCTGGCGAGGACTCTGGCCTTGGAGTTAGCATGGCATGCTTATCAGGCCTGAGGCACCCCCTCCAGCTGGGGTGAAATCACTAGTGGGTCTGAGAAGCTGCCCTTGGGCCACCTTTGTCCACCCCTGTAGACAAAGAGTAAACCCAGGAGCCAAGAGAAAATGATGAAATGGTGTTTATTACTATCTGGATGTAAAACCCAGCAGTGTTGTCCTATCTGACATGGTCTAGGGTTTCCCAGCCAGTGAGAGAGGGGCCAGGAAGGAACTAGGCTGCGTGTCAGGCACTTGTCAGGCAGTATCAGGCACTCAGCACCCTAAGGCTACCATGGTGGGGTGGGGCTGGTAAGCTCTGATCAGCCAGGAAAGGCCCTCTCTGCCCTACTCAGGCCCAAGCCAGGACCAGACATTCTGAGCATGGCTCAGTCGCCTTCCCCAACCTCAGGTCTGACCCAGAGTAAAGAAAGAGACCTCAGGTTAATGGGAAGCCACTTAGCTCTGCTCCCAACCAGCCACTTTCACACAAGTATACCAAAAGATAGCCCCTGACTTCAACAGAGAGGGGCTTTCCTGCCTGAGATCTGGTGAGCAGATGGGTGCAGGGAAAGTATGCTGGCTTTTGTCACAGTGACATTTTCCAAAGTGGAAAAAAGTTAAAAATATCTCCCACCTTAAGTTCAGATGAAAAGTCACCCTTTGGGTCGGGAATAGTGAGGGGATGGCTAGGCCCAGGGACTCCCTCAGGGGAGAGCGCTGAGTGCCATCTGGGCTGGGGCTGCAGCAAGGCAGGGCTGGACTGCACAGGGAGGCAGGCAGACCGGATCCAGCAGCCTCAGGGCCCAAGGAGGAGTGAGAATGAGAGGGCCAGCCAGTGTGTGAGAAATCAGCCTCCCCAAGGCAGAGGTGAACCCTCAATCGCCCCTCCTCCCTTACTCGCTCACTCAGCATTCACAGGCAGCAACGTGGTCCCTGGTCACCATGGCAACCAATGGCCAATGCCTTTCTCAAGGCCAGGCCCATCTGCCCATCCCACAGGGAGATGTCTCTGTGGAAGATGGGAAGCCCAGCCACAACTCCCAGTGGCCTAGAAAGCTAAGGCCATGCACCAGGGCAGGACAGCACAGAGGCCTCACTCGGGCCAACCTAGCTAAAGGTGCTGCTATGGCAGCAGGCAGCTCCCAGCCCCTAGGCCCTGCCCATCTCTAGGGCTTGAGCCTGGGCCAGAGATCTGAAGGAGGTTTAGGGTCAGGGTCCTCCATCCTGAAGTTCCGAGTGACAAATTAAAACACAACAAAATAATCCTTTTGTTAAAAGAATGACCCTGGGCCCTCCTGGCCAGGGCCTGAGCACATTTCAGTCTGTTATGCAGGCTGAGAGGCCAGGCTCCTCCAAGGCCCCATGAGCTACTGGTTGTTGCAGCCCTGTGAGGCAGAGGAGCTGCCTGCCTGCTTTTTTCTCCTCTTGTTGAGGAGCCGGTTGTTAGAGGTCTTCAGGTCCTTGATCTTCACCTGGTCGTAGTCTACCCGCATAGTGGCCAAGGCACTGGTCATCTCCTCCTGGGGACAGACAGGATGGTGGGCACTAAGAGGTCAGGATGTACTGACCTTAGGAACCATCACCCCCCTGCCTGGGCAGCCCCTTAATGTCAGTGACAGCCTGTGCTGCCTCTGTGCCCACTGTGTGCCCAGCACTGGGCCAAGCCCTTTGCATCACATGATCCTCACTACCGTCCTCTGTGGTAGACACTGAGCTTATTCACTAAGGCACAAAAGGAGAGTTACTCCCTCGGACCACACCAAGGGTAAGTGGGATAGTGAACTAAACCAGTTCCACCACAGAACCACAAGACCTGCAGAGAATGCCATCTCGCTGGGCAACCAGCGCACTGGGGCCTGGAGATTGTGCCACTGGAGCTGCTACTCCATATGTTCAAACGTGGCCTCTGCTGGGTCTAAACCAGGCTGACCACCCTCCCAAATGTTGTTGGTTATAAGAGAGGTCATCATCCAAGCTTGGTACCAAAGCCCCGTTTCATTGAGGAAGTGAGCCAGGAGCACCACACTGAATGGCGTAGTGAGGCCCAATCCTTGGAGTGCCATGGTTGGACCACTGCGACAGTCACTGACACCCTGTGCTCCAGGTATAGAAAGGGGCCAAAGACCCCAGACCCTGGGTAGCCACCCCCCTGAAGTCCCTTTTGCCCAAATCCTGGCACCTGTATTGAGACTGAGGCAGAGCCCACCCACCTTGACTTCGTCCCAGTGGTCTTTGTCCTCCTGCAGCACTCGGGCCGTGTGGAGTGGGGTCTGTGGCACTACCATCGATTGCTGGAAGGAGCCCCACGCCCGTGGATTAGAAACTGGAGGCACCTGGGACAGCACTGGTTCCCCCTACTCCATCCTCTTCTCCCAGACTCAGATGGAAAAACCAAGGCTCAGGGTGGGGAAGGAGCCTCACTAGGGCAGTGACAAAGCCAGGTTGTAGGTGAGGCCCTAGTATCTACCTGTGTGCATGGGCCCATTCCAGCCCTGCACTGGGGCCTCAAAGCAGAGCCACCACCCTCCTGCCCGGCAGCCCCACTCCTGTTGGACACCCTGCCTGCCATGGGAGGAGGAGGGGCTCACGTTGATCCAGGGGTGGTTCATGAACTGAGTGATGGTCAGCCTCTCTGTGGGGTCTGTCTTCAACAGGAGGCGGATCAGCTGCTTGGCTAGGGGGGCCAGGGAAGAGAGGGGAGAGATGAGATTGCAGAGCCAGCCCCTCCACCCTTCCCCACAGACCACAAGCTCTGCTGGGGCAGGGGCTGCATGTGCTCCCAAATTCCCAACCCACAGAAAGAGTGAGCTAACAACTATTTCTTGTTTTGAAACACTAAGTGTTCAGGATAATTGGTTAAGCAGCAGTAGATAACTCATACAGGGCAGCCTTGTTTGTGGTCCTCAAAGGGGAAAATATGAATGAGGAATAGGAGTTAGAGGGAGTTTTGAGGAGGCAAGTTTTGAGCCTGTTTGGCAGATGTAGAAACTGAGGCTCAAGAAGGTTAGGGGACTTGCCTAGGGTCCCATAGCTGGAAAGAGGGGGAGCCAAGATTTGAACACAGGTCAGTTTGACACCAAAGTGATGTTTCCCAGAATGAAAGCCGCAGGGGCCAGGTGAGTCAGGCTGGGACAGAGAGGTTCACTCACCATCCTCAGAGACTTCTGACCACTCAGGATTGGGGAAGCCGTACTGGCCCAGGCGAATCCTCCTCTTCATCCCCGGGGAGATGGCCTGGCCCGTGTTGGAGTAGAAGGGTGGGAAGCCACAAAGGCTGGGGGAAGGGGTAAGTCATTTGGCATAGGGTGGGAGCAGTGCCAGGGTGGACCCATTTCCCCTCAAAAGCCCCTGACTGGGGAGACAGACAACCAGACACCATAGCAATAATACCAGCCCTCCGGACTCCCAGGCACATCCCAGGAATGCCATCAGCCCTTGGCATGGGGAGACCCTCAGGCACCTGAAGGAGTGGTGTCCCATGACCAAAAGGGAAGGGCAGCCTGCATGAGGAGTGACACACACAAGCTCCTCACCAAGGACATGGGGGTGGGGGGACAGAAGTGGTCCTGAGGGCTCACAGTGGGGGTAAGGGCAGGAGATGGAGGCAGGGGGTGGGGAAGGTACTCACAGGATGTACATGATGACACCCAGGGACCACATGTCACATGACTTGTCATACTTCTCTGGACCCAGGACCTCAGGGGCTGCCAGGGCAGAGGGACAGCAGGGCTCTCAGACCCAAGGGTCTTGGAGCCCAGGCAGGAGCCTAAAGCCTGGGCAAGGTGGGGAGCAGGTACCTGGGCTGGGAGGTAGGGCAGAGCAGACTGGCGTCTGGCACCTTTTGGAAAGGCAGCATGTGTGTGAAGTTGGGGGAGGAGAAAGCTCCTGGAAAAAAATCAACCACTTTCAGACATACCCCTAGCTCCCTTGGGCCTGAGCCCCTCTACCAGTCTCAACCTTGGTGAAAGAAGAGAAGAGAAGGCCAGTCTGGGGCTTGGTGGGAAGCTACCGTAGGTGAGAGGGTCTTGGCCTGCCAGCTGTCCTGTGTCCCTTGCCTCCCTGAATGCATAGCCTAGGTCACAGGCAAGGAAGAACCAGGGACAGGGCTCTGCATTCCATCATCAGCTTGGCTACCAATCCATGGAGCCTTTGTCTTCCCTGTGCAATGAGGTGGGTAGGCTAGAAGATTTCTAAGTTAAAATACTTAGTGCAAAACACATCCTAGTTAACAGAGTGCCATTTCAACTGTCTCAGGGAACTTCCCACCCCTTCAGCAGCCCTCCAGGAAGACCTCTTCTGAGGGAGAAAAGCCCTCTGTCATCACCCCACTCTCAGGTTAGGGGGCAGTTTTGGCAAGGAACATTTTCAGATCCGGGGGTTGCCCACTTGCAGAAGGGCAGTGAACTTTTCCAGGAAGCATGAGTATGTGCACACCTCCAAGCCCTGGCTTTAGTGACCGTCTCCCACAAGGCAGGTGACTGGTACCCTTTGTCCCTCCAAGTTAGGAGGAAATGCATGCCCACTTTCTGAATATGAATCCCAGGAAGACAAAAACTAGAGAAAAACAACCGCGGTTGGGCTCCGTCCCAAGCTGATGGCAGCCTTTTATCACATATATATTTAGAGCTGCTGTGATGTCATTCAGCTCACAGGCCACAGCCAGAATTTTCCTGGATCTATTTTCAAAAGCAGAAGCTGAAGTTTGGGAGAATATTTTTGCAGCCTCCGGCCCCCCACGTCACCCGCCTCCATGCAGACAGAATTCTCCCCCTCCCTCCTTGCTGGGCTTTAACCCTTTGGTTTCTGCAACCCACTGGCTACCCCATAATACAGCTGTATAAGTTGGGGTGAGGAGTTACAACTCATGTCCGAAGGACTCACCCACATAATAGGGAGTATAGCAGGGTGTCTGCAGGGCATTTTGGGTGGTCTCCTTAGCAAAGCCAAAATCGGTGAGCTTAAGCACTGCGTCTTTCTCCTTAGATGTGTAGAGTAGGTTTTCAGGCTGGGCCAGAAAGAGAAAACATTGGTTTGGAGTTAGGAACCAGGCAGGAGCAGAGCCCCAAGGTGATCTTCAGCCAGACTCCCCGACTCCATCCCAGTGCAGAAGGAGCCAGGTCCATTTATAAAAAGACCCGGGCCTTGCCCACTAACATGGGCCAAATATAGAGAAACCCAAGGTGCTACCTTCATTCACAAAAGGGGAAGCAAGGCAGGTGCTCAGCCAAGGCTGTGAATGACCAAGTGCCATAGAAAGCCTCGGAGCAGGAACTTCTGATCCTGAGTTGGTGACATTGCCATGAAATGCTAGAGCAAGGGTGCTGGGGGAAGGCAGGCTGCTCATAAGTCAGTATTGCCAAGCACATGTCCCATACCCAGCCCAGAGTGAATCCTACAGGGCTAGAAGGACAGCCCCATCTGAGGTTGCTCAGGGGAGAAGGCCCTGGTTGCTCAGACCCCAGACCCCAGGAGCTGCACAGGGGCAATCTTCCTGTGTCCCAGGAGTAGCCAGGGGCCTGGCAGATGAGGGCAGTAGGGAGGTCTGTCCCTGAAACTGGTTTTTAATGAATGGTAGGTAGGATGTAGGCCCATGGAGAGGGGCAGAAGAGACCCCCAAGCAGAGCCGGGGTAGAAGGATGGGGTGTTGGTAGAAGGATGGGGTGGTGGTTTAGAACCAATGGATGCTATTTCTCAGGTTCCATTTGAGAAGATCTGACCTTCTCAATTGTGATAAAAACAGAGAAGCAGTTTTAGTCTATTCAAGGGAATCTCCTCTGCAGAAGGCTTTTCTCTCTTCGGGAAAAAAAAGCCAGGGTCCAAATAAAGCAAGGATTTACAGGTTGGGGTGCTCAGCCAGAGGGAGGACCTTATGCAGCAGCTGTAACCTCAGCTCGCCTCTGCCCAGTCTGAGGAGGAAATAAGCCAAGGAAGGTAACGTTCTAGGCTTGGGGCAGAGGGCCCAGGAGGAGCAGACTCTGCTCTGATAGTGCTCACACATGCTTGTGTGCACATGCATGTGTGTGCTGCCTTGGTTTGCATTTCATCCATCTGATCCAGATGACCTCTAAGACCCAGTCCTCCCAGGATAGGAAATTTGGAGAGCTGAGCTTCCAGCCTCAAGACTGGAAGGTGGCCCAACAACTGGCACTACCTCTGTTCCTTCCTCCAGGGCTCAGCAAATGGCTTCTTTCCCTTAAAATGCTGGTATCAGGGGGCCTGATCTGTCAAAGCTATGGCTGTGACTTCACAAAAGCCGCAACAGGGCCAGGTGGAATGGCTCACGCCTGTAATCCCAGCACTTTTCGAGGCCGAGGCGGGCGGATTACCTAAGGTCAGGAGTTCAAGACCAACCTGCCTAACATGGTGAAACCCCATCTCTACGAAAAATACAAAAATTAGCCAGGTGTGGTGGTGTGCGCCTGTAGTCCCAGCTACTTGGGAGGCTGAGGCAGGAGAATCGCTTAAACCTGGGAGGCGGAAGCTGCAGTGAGCCGAGATTGCGCCACTGCACTCCAGCCTAGGTGACAGAGTGAGACTCTGTCTCAAAAAAACAGAACAAAATAAAACAAAACAAAAAAAACCAACAGCATCAGGCAGCCCCTGCCTGAGGCCTGGCACATTGCATCCACACAAAATTTCTTGCTGAACAAGTAAACAAATGAATGAATGAATCCCAGTGCAGCAACTACACAGCCCCTGGGCAAGTCACTTAATGTTTTTCTGAGCCTTGTTTTCCTCATCTGTAAAATGGGTAATGGCACTTATCTCACAAGGCTGGGTGAGAATGAAATGAGATTGCTTGTCAGGGCCCGCTGGCTTTAGGCAGGCAGTCAGTTATTCTTATTACTATTTGGATTACTCAGTGTTTGAAAGAAGCAAGGGGACCCACCTGGTGAGAACAGAATGAGTATGCTGAAACTAGAGAAGAGGCTGAGAAAAGCAGTCTGGGACACAGAGCAGAGGCTTTGAATGTGACTAGGGAACATGGCCTCCATCCAGTGGGTCCTGGATGCCATCAGGGATTGTGGAGTGGGACAATATCCTCTTCCCCGGGCCCCCAACCTGAATCCTGGAGCCTCACCTTGACATCTCGGTGGGCAATGTTATGGCTGTGCAGAAACTGGATGGCAGTGCCAATATCCCGCATTATCTCTGCAGCTTCTGCAGAAACAGAGGAGGAGGGGGTCAGTGATGCCAGTCAAAGGTCAAGCCCCCACCCTATCATCCCTCCTGGACACAGTCTAACAGGCCAGCACAAGACAAGAAGACAGTGACAGCACTCCTGCTATCCAGGTTCTCTATCCCGGGATGTCTACGCCACCCCAGACACCCCAGTTTCCTCCGAGGATACCCCCAACCCATCTAAACTTCTTTCCTCAGTCCTGAGCTACCTCTCCCCAGCTCAACTGCGAGACAGCATCAAGAGGCTTTGAGGCCTCCATCCCAAAGCCATAGAGAGTCCAAGTTCGACAAAGTGTCTCAGACTCAGAGAGTCCCTTGTGGGGATGGACACTGAGTCTCACCCTTTCTTATTCAGATGGGAAGACTGAGAGGAACAGGGTCTTGCCTAGCATCACACACAACGCTCTGGTCCATACCTCTCACCCTGAATCCTCCTGCTGGTCCAGCTACATGCACATACCTCTCTCAGTGAAAGCCTGGTCGCCACGCTCCTGAATCCTGCTGAACAACTCACCACCTTCCATGCTGTAAAAGAGGTGACTATAAGCAGAGAGGGGGAAACTGCACATCATCCTACCCTTGCCCCTGCCCCAAATCATAGGCCCAGGCTTCAGACCCTGCTGCTCCGCTCCTCCCCTACTGAACAGCCACTGTCAGCCTCCCTGTCCCTTGTAGAACCTGGTGCATGGTGGGTTGTCAGCTTAGGTGGGTTGAACTGAACTCTTGGAACTAGAAGAGGGTGGTGGGCTCTGATCCCTGCCAAGAAGCCTGTGTGTTCCCAGTGGCACGGCCCCTACCTGACTGTGAGGGCTTGGGTACTCCCAACCCCATTCAAGTCTCTGTTTCCCCAAATGTGGGATGAGATGTTAATTATCATCATATGACCACTGTTCTCTGGGCACCTACTGTGTGCCATGCCCTGGGATCCACGTTTCATGAGCGCTGTTGTGTGATCCTGGGCTGGTTCTTTCACCTCTCTGTGCCTCAGCTATCTCTTTTGTATAATAGGGATGACAGCACCAACCCCATAGTCATGCAGATTGAATATGCAATACACATGGGCCACTTAGAATGGAGTCAAGCACAGGGTAAATGCTACATTAAGATCTTTCCCACATCTTACATCTGAGTTACAGAGATTCAGAGAGGTTAAGAGCTGCCCACGGTCACATAGCTAGTGGGTAGCAGAGGCAGGATCTGAACCCCAAATCTGAAGAACTGGCTAACCGGTCCAAGGATGGCTGGTGCTGAGCCATGGTGTTACAGGAAGAAGCCCAGGGTGGAAAAGGCCACTGGCTCCTGGTTCTAGGCCCCAAGCACCCAGTTCCTGGTGGGACCATGGGAGCACATACCCAGGTCAAAAGGAGAGAAAGCTGAGGGAACTGCGTGGGTCCTGTTCTTCCCCAAATCCCCCATCCATCCATATTCAGGGATTGGGAGCCTTCTCTGACAGCTCTTCCAGTCCTCCTCACAGAGTAGAAATCACACTCAGGGAGGCCATATTAACCCCTGTGGTTTCTTGCCCACCCTTGAGGGAATGTCCTTATGGCCAACTCCATAGATCCACAGGCAGGGCCTGCGGCTGCCTGCTCCATTGCCCCTCAGGGGCTACAGTGGCACCCAGATCTGCTACCTGAAAAACAAAGAAAGCCCCTAGAAGCGTGGCAGGGAGCCTGAGGGCCACAGGGATGCCGAGGGGGTGTGGAGACAGGGCAGGCCAGCATACCATTCCATGATGATGAGGAGACAGCGCTTGCCATGGTGCATGTTCTCATACACATCCAGGATGCAGACAATATGGGGGCCGCCAGAAGCCTGCCAGTGATGGTCTACCTCCTGCCGGGCCTTGGGGCTGTCATACAGGAGCTGTAGGTGGGTGCACATAGAAAGTGTCAGGCTCAGAGCCCTCTACCATCATTTTGCAGACAAAAACATATAAGCTCTGAGGCCTGTGACCTGCCCCAGGTCACACAGCTTATAAGGAGCAGAATGAGAATTTGAATCTAGGTTTCTCTGACTTGTGGTCCAGTGAGCCTCTGGACTTGAGGGTCAGTCCTGGGCTCAAGCAGCTTGGCAGGTAGTTCAAGGAGTCCGTAGGAGGTGGCTGACTGCTTCGAGGGGCTCAGAGGCCAAAGAAGCCCTTGCTTCCCTTCTCAGATGGAAATTGAGTGGGTTTTATAACCCCACTCTAATCACACAGCAGCCATGGGACCCCAAGCCAGGGGCCACACATCCCTTGAGCCTCATTTTTACCATAAGGATGACACAGCTGTTCCATTTCCTAGGCTAGGGTTGGAAATTGTACATGTAAATTGTACAGGATAGCACCTGGTACATAGTAGGCCCTTGGTGCCTCCCTTGTGATTCTCACCCTGGGCATCTATGAGAAATGTAAGTGTAGAAGCAGAAGGTGCTGGGGAAAGGCTGGGGAGGGGAGAGGGTGCACTAACACGCAAATCTGCCCTACAGGACTCAGCATGATCAGGAGAGTGCTGGAGTGAGAAGGAAGACTTCCTGCAGGAGAGGTTGAGGCCTGTGTCTGTCAATCTATCTCCCACAAAGAAACTGGCCCAGAGTGGAGGGAGACAAGGCCACACTCCTGTAGGGGTAAAAGTAATTAAGACTTCAGATTCTCCAGGAGTGGGCATGAGAACAAAACTCTCACTACCAAGAAAAGTGCTTCTAAAATGAGTTGCTTGGTCATGACCACCCAGTCAGTACCCAGCTCCCAAGGTAACTTTATAGCCTTCCTGGGAGCTGCTATGCAGTACCAGGGCGACAATGTCATCGCACTGTGAGAGAGGTGGGGCCATCTCAAGGTGACCTAGCTGCCCAGCCTCCACCCTCATTCCATGCTTACAGATCACCGGTAAGGACCCAGAGGTAGAGACTGGGGGAAGGGAGGACCCTAGTTGAGGGAGATGACAGCTGAGTGGAGTGAGATGTGGGTTTGGGATTGAATTCCTCCAATGACTCGGTGTGACCTCAGGCATACATTCACAGCTCCAAGCTGCAGCCCACAACTCTGTAAAATGGTATAATAGCAGAGTCATCCCCACAGGGTGCATCCCAGCCAAGGCAAGCATCCAGTGGGCGGGCATCAGGATCCTTGCTCGGGTTAACTCAGCCCTGGACTGTGGCTGCCAACCAGCACCAGAAATGAACAAGGCCTCACAGTGGCCCTGCTGTAGGGGGAGAAGAAGAAGTCAGCATGCATGAGGAGATGGCCCAGAATGGGGACAGCAGGGACAAGCCACCCCCAAAAAGGGTTGCTCACTCAAGGACCATCTGTGACACTGTGTTTCCTAATGGAGGAGGGCTGGGGACCAGGGCTGATGCTCAAGACCGGGGCTCGGATCAGCACTGCTCAGCAGCCATAGGACCCTGGGCTGCCCCAGCCTTAATTTCCTCCTCTGCAGGATGGGGAGAGCCAGGCCACTTTACACAGGGCACTGTTAGGGGCAGGCTCTGTGACCATGCACGCTCTCTAGGTAAAGACAAACTGGGTCAGGGCAGTGTCCCAGAGAGGGGAGAGGCAGGCAGTGGTTTCTCGAGCCTGCTGCCCCTTGGCTGTCCCTCCTTTTCTGGAGCTGCTCCCCTCAACCCTAGCCTGGGAATACAGGCAGTGCAAGGAATACAGAGAGCCAGGGGCTGGACAAGCCCTCTAGCAGCTCTGTGCCCCTGCTCCATTACCCAGAGCAGGCTGGGGGTGTGCGTCAAGGCTGCTGTGGGCAGACACTCCTGCCTGGACACCATGGATCCTTGCTCATGCTGCCCTTGCCTTCCAGAACACCCCTCAGGTTAGTGCCCGCACAATTCCCAATCACCAGCTTCTTTCTCAGCACTGGGACCAGAAAGCTCAGTGCCCCCCACTTGCCTCCACCATGTCCTGTGGCGGCCCTAGCTAGGGGTACCCCAATCCTCAGCCACAGGAGCCAAGAGGTACCATCCTCCCTCCCTGCACCGGGTTCCTTCTTTGCCTCCTCCCCCTCCCCCTGCCTGGTTCTCTCCTCCCCAGTCTGACCTGACCATCTCCTGTCAGGCCTCCCAGGCTGGCTCCCACACTCCCTCCTCACTGCCTGCCTTGTGGCATCTCACTCCCACATCAGAGTCCTCCTCTTCTCTCTTAAAAGTCCAAGCTCACAGCTGGAATGCTTTCATTAGGGTCCTCAGCCCTGCCTCTCCCCTTATGACTCTAATCCACCTGTGGCCACAGACACTTCCTCACATCTTCCAGATAAATGTCCTCCCCCAGCACGCAGGGCTTGCCTTCCTTTCCCACCTCACTTCCTGCCACCTCTGGGCCAAAACCACTTTGTTCTGGCCAGAAAAATATATATGTTGTTCCCAAACAGGCCTTACTCCCCCAGGCCTCTGTGTCTAGGTCTGTGCTGGTCCCTGTCATGTGCATTCTTGCCTCATCCTCTCTGTTGGGTCAACTCCCTCTTTTTGGGGAAACTTCAGGGCTCAATTCAGATCGATCAATCTCTCTCTCTCTCTGTCTCCATCTCTCTCTCTCTCTCTCTCTCTCTCTCTCTTTCTCTCTCTGGAAAGTCCTCCCAGCACCTTTTTTTCTTTTTCTTTTCTTTTTTTTTTTTTTGAGACAGAGTCTTGCTCTGTCACCCAGGCTGGAGTGCAGTGGCACGATCTCGGCTCACTGCAAGCTCCGCCTCCCGGGTTCACGTCATTCTGCCTCAGCCTCCCGAGTAGCTGGGACTACAGGTGCCCGCCACCACGCCCAGCTATTTTTTGCATTTTTAGTGGAGATGGGGTTTCACCGTGTTAGCCAAGATGGTCTCGATCTCCTGACCTCGTGATCCACCCACCCAAAGTGCTGGGATTACAGGTGTGAGCCACCACGCCCGGCCCCTCCCAGCACCTTTCTTACTGGTTTTGCTTCTGTTCCTCCTACCACCCTGGGAGCAGCTTGAGGGCAGAGGCAGGTCAAGTTCACTTGGGGGTCCCTGGCTGGGGCCTGGCAGGAAACACTGGGCTTCCGAGCAAACAAAGGATGGGAGGATGGGCCCAGGACTGGAGGGAGATAGGAGGAGCCAGAGGGAAAGAAGGAGGGCGGTAGATGGCCAAGGAGGGGCTGGAGAGCCTTCCAGCCTGGGCCTGCATCCTGTGCTTTGCTGAGGTAGAGGAGCAGGTGGAGCTGCCCTGAGCTGGAGCCTCTCAAGGCTTCTGCCCCACTGAGTCCATATTTAGGAACCCATTTCCCACATGGATTAAAATAGTCCCTCTACAAACGCCAAAGCCCTGAAAATAGGCATAGGGACAGGGGAGAGGGCCGTCCCCGGAAAATATAATAAACGCCCCACTGGCCTCTCTGCAGAGTACATCACAGGAGCCAGAGCCCTCAGCCTGGGCCCAGGTCCAGCTGCCAAGAAATCCCCTGAGCTGTCTCTCCTGACCCCTTGAGTTGACCCTGAGCCCAAAACCTCCTAGAGCCTCAGTTTTCTCATCTTCCTTCCCCATAGCCAGAGCCTTCTCCTCCAGGCCTCCCCTCAATGTGGTCCACCTCAATGTCATCTCCTCTCAGAAGCCCTCCCTCTTCATCCTTTGTTTTTCTTTCTTTCAATATATGCTTTGTTTATTGAGGTATAATTGACATATAGTAAAATGCCCAGGTCTCAAGGGTCCAATTCAATGAGTTTTGATGATTGCACACACCCTTGGGACCCAAACTTCCATCAAGACAGAAAACATTCCTAGCTCCCCAGAAAGCTCTCACGTCATCGCCCTTTTCACTTCCTGTGCAGCACTTGCTCACAACATACAATTAGCTTGTTCCTTTGATAACTCTTTAAGCAAAAACACACATACAGATATTGTACTTTCAATGTGCCTGGCTCTGTTTGGAGTACTTTATAAACATTAGGAGGAAAGGACTTCATTATCACCACTTTTTGGATGAGAAATTGAGGCACAGAGAGGGGAAGTAACTGGCCCCAAATCACATGGCTGATCCCCCAGCCAGGCCAACACCAGCAGCCTCCCTCATCAGACTGTGGGCCCACAGGGCAGGGCCAGTCTGCCTGGCCACCTCTAGGTCCCAGTACTGGGATACGGGGCCTGACACAGAGCACTAACTCAGGTAATAGTTGTAGATTTTTTTTTTGAGACAGAATCTTGCTCTGTCACCCAGGCTGGAGTGCAGTGACACAGTCACAGCTCACTGCAGCCTTGATCTCCTGGGCTCAATGATTCTCCCACCTCAGCCTCCCAAGTAGCTGGGACCACAGGTGCATGCCACCACACCTGGCTAATTTTTTTTTTTTTTGGTTTTTTTTTTTTTTTTTTTTTTTTTTGGTAGAGACGGGGTTTTATCATGTTGCCCAGGCTGGTCTCGAAATCCTAGGCTCAAGTGATCCTCCTGCCTTGGCTTCTGAAGCACTGAGATTGTAGGCATGAGCCACTGTGCCTATCAATATTTGTAGATTTAATAAATCTATAGAGTAAGGATGAGGGGGAAAACCTCTCACAACCTATCATGAGGACAAGATAAGATTAAATTGGCCAGGCGTGGTGGCTGACGCCTGTAATCCCAGCATTTTGGGAGGCTGAGGCAGGTGTATCACGAGATCAGGAGTTTGAGACCAGCCTGACAAACATGGTGAAACCCCATCTCTACTAAAAATACAAAAATTAGTTAGTGTGGTGGTGTGCGTCTGTAACCCCAGCTACTCAGGAGGCTGAGGCAGAAGAATCACTTGAACCCAGGAGGCGGAGGTTGCAGTGAGCTGAGATCGTGCCACTGCACTACAGCCTAGATGACAGAATGAAACTCCATCTCAAAAAAAAAAAAAAAAAAAAAAAAAAAAAGATTAAATTGAGGAGGCCCCAGTGAGGCTCAACAAATGGGAGACATGACAACCTGGCAAACTTTCTCCCTGCTGCCCAAGGGCAGCCTGTACCTCACCTACCCTCTCTGTTGAACCAGGCTTTACCTCCTCTTCCAGGGAGCCCATCATGACTGCTCCATTCCACAAGGCATTTCTGCAAGTTGGCCTCCTTCACATAGGTACATGACTCCACACTATTCTTCACAAAAGATGTCCCAAAGTAAGAGCTCCATCTTCCCAGGCATGAGAATGAGCACAGGGCCAGGACACAGGAGGCCCAGGTTCTATGCCTATTCTCAGTATGACCTTAGGCCAGTCCCTTTTCCTCTCTGGGCCTCTGTTTCCCCAAAGTTAAGCTGTAGGGCTTGGGCTATATAGGGTGGGGGAGATAAGTGGGTAACAAGGCAGACTTCTAGACAGGCGTTCCTTGCAAAGTACCTACCATAGTACCACTCCCACATCATTGCCCCCATGGAGCAGCCTCTGGGTCCCCATGGCCTCCATATCCACATGCCTGAGCCCACTGGGGGCTACCTGAAATGGGCAATGATGTCATGGTTCCCAGTCACAGCTGGGAAGACAAGAAGATAGGAAGGGGCTAAGCACGGTGGCTTACGCCTGTAATCCTAACATTTTGGGAGACCGAGGCGGGAGGATCACCTGAGGTCAGGAGTTTGAGACCAACCTGGCCAACATGGTGAAACCCCATCTCTACTAAAAATACAAAAAAATTAGCTGGGTGTGGTGGTACGCACCTGTAATCCCAGCTACTTGGAAGGCTGAGGCAGGAGAATGGCTTGAACCCGGGAAGTGGAGGTTGCAGTGAGCCGAGATCGCATCATTGCACTCCAGCCTGGGCAAGAAAATAAGACTTTGCCTCAGAAAAAAAAAAAAAGAAGAAGAAGATAGGAGGGGATTTCTGACAACCCAACGGGCCCCCACCCTTGCCTCATTCCTCTCCTATGTTCCCTGAGCTCCCCAGGGGTCCACCAGAACTGGAGGGTCTGTGATGGCACTTGGGCAGCTCCACAGCTCCAGCTAGTGCCCAATAGGTACACACAGACACACATTCACACACACACACAGACGTACACATACACACACCCCTGTGAGGTGGAAACTGGGCTTCTTCCTGAGGAAGGGGATTCCTGGCCATGCACCTGAGGTGTGGGTCCCCACTGAAGCTCAACAAGCATTGAATTTGAGATGATGTTTCCTTTAGCGAGTGACCACAGGCCTCAGGCTCTGATATACTGGTTTTCACTTTCCCTTCTCCCCTCATCCTCCTTTGCCAAATTCTCTCTCTTGCCCCCAGAGCCAGCAGCCAGAAGGCCAAGACCCCTACTGACTTCACCAGCTAGTGAGCCCCAGCAAAATTTGAGAGCAGAAGGGCCCGTGCCCCTCTAGCATCACCAGGTGGAATGTGGGGGCCTCAAAACAGGCCAGGCCCCTCACTATCACCACTATATCCCTTTCCACCCAAGGACAGGGTTTACTTGTGGGTGGAGGAATTCTTGAGTTCCATAGCTGGGAAAACAACAGCACCATTTGCCTGTTTGGAAAACAATTTGCAGTTTACAAAACACTCTGCTGTCCCTTATCTCATGGGAATGCTTGGTGCCACCCTGTGAGGCAAGCAGGGTGGGAACCATTAGCCCCAATTTACAGATTGAGGAAACACGGGCTTGGGAGGATGAAGTCATTGCCCTGTGGCCACCTGGCTGCAGGATGGCAAGGCTGGAGGAGGAAGGAGAACAGGACTTTTGAGAGAGCACCCAGACAACCCCTCCCTGAGGGGAGATGAGAGGAGGGGGTGGCCCCAAGTTGGAGCAGCACTGGCCAAATCCACAGCTTGCACAAGACTCAGGAAGCTTGTTCTGAAATAAATGTGTACATCAGTGCGTGGGTGAGTGCATATGTAGGGGTATGAGGAGGGCATGTGGGTGTGTGTGTGTGCATGGGAACATGAATGTGTGCATGCATGCATACATCGTGTGTAGGGGTGTGTGCATGGGTGTGTGGGGAGTATGGGGGTGGGTGTGTGGGCCCGTGGGCATATGTGTGTCTCCAGTCTCTGCAATATTGACTTTGAACTCGCAGAGAACAGGATTTATCCATCTGTCCATTTGTTCATCTAATATTTTCTACTTCTCCAAAGTACCTAGCAGAGAACTGGCCACGGAGAGGTGCCCAAGAAACATTGGGGGGTCTTATTGCTACAACTCAACCTAAGACAGCCTGTGCAAGAAGGTGACCAAGCCCAGATGCCTCCATTCAGACCTCCTCTCCCACTGGTCACCATGGCAGGGCCTAACATTTCTTGTTGCCCAGAACTAGAAAATCACTCTGTCTGTCTTCTTAGAGATCGAACAAAGCTGGGATGTCTGCAGTGACTCTTGGGAACCAGTCCCCAACACCCTCCTCCAGCCACTTCCTCGCCCAGGAAGGGCCCCCTATCCAGGTCCACCCACCCACACATGGGTGTCCCCATCCAGCTCACCCCAGTGCTGGGCTCTTCTCAAGTTAAAGTGCCCACAGTATCTCCATCTCTCACATACAGGAAGCGCCGAGGCTACCAGCTTGGACAAGCAGTTTCCCCAACACCTCTTGCAGCCAAACCCCAACCTCCATACCCCTGGCCAATTAACCTGCAGCCCCGGCCAGGCTGTTGTATGGCCTCTGCCAGAACACCCACTGTTTCCGGGGTAAGAGAGCTGACTTATCTCTCCCATCAACGAGGCAGTAATAAATTAAGAAGCTGAAGCTCTGGATTTTGTGACAACTCACAGTATGAGAGACATCAGCCCTACAGCAAAGGGAACTTCCTCCTGGAGGCCAAGGATCTAGTTCCTCTCACCACCCCTTGAGGCCCTCCAAGCACCATTATTTCTGCAAGCCCTGCTTATTAACAACAGTATTTCAGACATTTTATAATTCTAAAACAAGACAGAAGCCAAACCAAACAAAAACAGCAGATTCTCTTTAGAATGAAGAAAAAGACAAAATGCACCAGAAACCCATGTAAGTTCATAACTATAAATGAGGACAAATTATAATTCTGAGCTTCCTGGAAGTCTTGCAAAGAAGGAAACCAGTTAGGCTCTGCTGCTTTTATTACCCCCATGAAGAGGAGCACAGATATTCACTGAACATTTTCTAGGACGAAATTCTAAAAGGGATTTCACATCAAACCTTATATAGGAGAAAACCTTCTGGCAACACCTTCAACAGCAATTCTGCAAAAGACACAGACTCAAATGAACATATCTAATATGGATTCCTCCATGAAGACTGAGGCCAGCACATATGCCTCAGCTATCGCCTGGCATGTGGGCCAGGAGTGCTGAGGTAACATCACCAGACCTTTATTTTCTTGGGATTCCAGCTTTGTTTTGTGCCAGAGGACAGATAGGAGAGGAGCAGCAGGGACCAGCATGGCCTCCAACACCTGTCCCACCTAAGGGTCTCATCCCAGCCTCAGGCAAAGGCAGGCCAGAATGCTGAAGATTAAATCTCAGTGCACGTGCTCAACACGAAATCTCAGGCAGCAAAACTGTAGAGAATGTTGTAGGGAAATTTAGGTTTCATTGTTGGGAACCCCTATTCTTACAGAGGCAGGCCGTGAATAAGACAAAACACTTTGAACCTACCATACTCCCTCCTTGACAAGTCTTCGACTCAGCCATCTCTAAGATCTCTCCCAGCTCCCAGTTGTATGATTATTTGGGATTATTTCCCATGAGGATCACATCTCAAATGATATAAGAGACACCACTGGAATAGCAGAATTTATTTTACAGCCAGTTGTTGAAACCCCTGCCAGTGCTGCTGGCACCTGTGTGGGCTATTAACACACACGGCCCTGCCAGCCAGTGTGACCCTTGTGAGCTGCTTTGCCCACTCAGAGAATGGGTCACAGCCTCAGCCTCTGCTCTGCAGGGAAGACGTCAGGATGGGATTGACCCTGAATTCAGAGTTCAGAAGCAGACTTTTCCTTCTTAAAGCTTCAGCATCTTCCTTATAATGCCAGAACCCCGCTCCTGCCCCCCATGTCCTCCCTCTCCCTCCCGACAAGGGCACTGGTGCTATTTGGAGAGCTGGAAGGTAGTGTAATATCTAACTTTTTAGCCACAGTTTCAAATCAGAGCTGCAGACATGTGCCATTATTCTCTCACAAACTCATTCTCCGAGCTTTCGTAGCTCATTAAAGGAGGTAATGGAACCAATTTTGCAGCTATGGATGAGTTGGCCTCCTGCCAGATGAGACCTCGCTTCATTAAGTTCCAACCACATCCTGTCCTCTGTCTCACCCTGTCCATTTACCTCTCCTCCTCAGAGGCTCGGTTCCAAGGAGGGCGGCTCACATGATACCACTGACCCCAAACGTCCAGGCCCCAGGTAGGTGCTGAGGGAATGATGGAGTCAGGTGGGATTAGCGCTCCCTACAGGACAACAGTCTGTCCCTGGTGCTGGGCCAGTACTGTGCAGAGGCCACCTCACACAGTGGTCACCATAACCCAACAAGGATCAGCAGCGCCCTTCTACCTGTGGGGAAATGTCCTTCTGGGAGGTTAAGTGACTTGCCCAAAGTCACACAGCTGGGCAGTGAGAGTCAAGACTGGGGACCATGTATAGCTGCTTCACCCCTTTTCCATGCAGCTTCAAGGCTTGGAGCAGGCACTCATCCCCACAACACCAGCCTGGGGAAAGCAAACAGAGAAGGCCCTGCCACTCCTTCCGAGAGCTTGGCCCACGCCCCTGGTCTGGACCAGGCCCTGCTACTCGGTGGCTGTTACAACAATGGCAGATGTTCACGGAGCCCCGCCCTGTACCAGGCATGTCATACCCATTAGCTCTTGCCCTTCAACAACTGCATTGTTAGCCACCATTTTCAGATGAGGAAACTGAGGGTCAGGGAGGCTTTGTGGATTCTCTGGGTCACGTGGTTTGCACATGGCCACCACTGAGTCAGAGTTCTTTGGGAACCAGGATTCAACTGTACAGGCCTGCCCATGTACAGATCCCCTCCCAACTCCTGCAAACATGTACTGGCCCTGTCTGGGGGCTAGACCTGGACTGGGACTGGGAATGCTGCCATGGGCACTCTGTCCTCAAGGATTTAGGGGTCTATGGATGAGTCACTGCCAACTGGGATGCTTGATGATGACATCTACACCTGGGAAACTGGTCCTGGCTCCTTCCCTTCCCTTCTCCTTTCTTTCCAGAACCAGAACCTGGCAGAACAGGCAAGATGGAGAAGGCCAGCCCCTTCTGAGGGAACTCACAAGAAAGGAGGACCCCTAAACAACCACTCCCCTTCTAGGCCAAGGCCAGGACACCTGATGGGGGGCAGGGTGGCAGCTTGACAGGCTGGGAACCTCCACCTGACCACTTCTCACCAGAGTTCTTGGGAGGGGAGGGAGTAGCTGAGGTTCCAAGCCTAGTGTCTTCCCAGGAAGCTCTGGGACAGGATAGCCAACACAAATTTTGAAATCATCAAGTCTTAGGAAGACAAGATTCCTCCAATTTACTAAATTTTGATGGCCTCAGTTGGTCTGCTTCCCACCAGCCCCAGACAACCTGGAAACAAAGGCTGAAATGCTAAGTCTGGGGGATGGGAAGAGTGGAGGGAAATGCTTCTAGAAAGAGGGACCTGAGCGAGGCTCCCAGGAAGGAAGAGGGAAGAACAGTGGGAACGTGAGTGCTAGAGGGTCCCAGTGCCCCAGACCAGGGACCATGCACAGCAGGACTAGCTGCAGCCACAGGGGTCCAGGTCTATTCCCAACTCCCCTGTGGCCTTGGGCAGGCCATTCAGCCTCTCTGAGCCTCACAGGCCCAATCTGGAAAGTGGGGATAGTGCTAATACTCCTGTTCCCAGGGAGCCACAAGGAGGGAATGAGAGCACACACAAAGAGCTCAGATGAACTTGGTGTCCAGTGCACACTGAAGGTATTGGGGGCCATGATGGTATGGGTGAAAACAGTTCCTGGGTTTGCTTGGGGACCCCTGGCTTTAGGATTCCCCTGGGTCTTCCTGAAATGGCCTTACACTCCTCCCCTCCTTGTTTCCCAGAATTCAGGGAAAGCTAGGTGCAGCCTTGGGGACCTGGGGGAGGCAGAACCTCTCCAATTCAGCAGGTCACAGGAAATGGTCTCATATCCTCAGAGGGGCACAGCCAGACTGGGCTCTTCAAAGGTGGACCAAGAACCTTGAGTCCACGAATCCTGTTTTGCTGTGAAAGGCTCAATAAGGAAGGGGAAGACCCTCCAGGGTGGAGAGAGGGTGGCTGATCTTAGGGGAGCGACCCTGGGGAATGGGAACCAAGACTGAAAGAACAGAAACCCACAACAGGGAACTCACCCAGCTCTCAAGCTTGGTCAACTATAGGAGGGGGCCCATCTTCACTTCTTTGTGGCAGCCCCCTACTCTCCCAGGTGGCAGACACCTTTACACCCCTCGACAACTCTGCGCATCCTTTTGAACAATGTCCCTCCTGCAAAATGTGTGACCATGGCCAGTCCTTTCACCTTCCCAAGCCCCAGCTTGCATCTGTGAACTGGGCACCCACTCTCCTCCCACATGGCTCCTGTGTTATAGCTGGGGAAAGAGGCCCTGAGACAGCTATGGCCTCCTCCCCTCCCCCAGAGGTTCTACAGTGAGAAAGTGGCAGGATCACAACTCCCTCTGCCCCTGACAGGTGTGGGATCCCAGGATTCTGCCCACAGCCTTCCCACAGAGGGCCGGGGGAGGCCACAGAGACCACCTGTGAGCCCCCTGAGTACATACTCAGAAGATCCAGGTTCTGGTATCTTCCTTTAACTTCAAAGAGGAAAAGGGGATTTTTCTATCAAAATCAGCTACATAATCTGTGAAACTTTACCCTGGTTTTATTTCTTCTATGACAGTGTAAAAATAGGACATTTTCATCATAAGACTGGAACATTTTAGCAAACACAAGTGTTTTGTTGTAATCTCAGAAATAATGTCCCATCAGTGGTCTCTCTTCATGAAGAGACCCCACAGCAGCAATGAAATATGTGCCCCCAACTGGCCAGTTGTGTGGCAGTGATGCCCACATAGCTGACACAGGGTAACAAAGGGCCATACCACCCTCCCTAGCAGGGGTGGCCAGGGCAAGTGAGGTCACGCCTAGGTGACCCCTGCTGAAGCACTCAGCAGGCCAGGCCTCTGGCCAGCTCTGGAGAGAGGGGACCCAAAACTCTCCAGCTTTCAGAAGAATGACAGCTGGTCTCTCTCGCCTGGAGGAGATGTCACAGTGATGACAAAGGAATCAGAAGTGGGCGTGGGGAGATACACTGGCTCACCCCCAGAGGCATGGCACAGAGGCCCTAGGGAACCTTCCATCCCCACCCCCAACACTGACCTTCTATCTCATATCTGCTCAGCATCTCTCCCTCATCCTTTGGCTTCATTCATGTCTCTGCAGCTCCCCACACAGGCCTGGGTGAGTACAGGCAGCCATCGCTCTCCTCAGGCTCCTCCCAGGGGTAGCAGGGGCACTAGCCATCCAGGCTTCCAGTCTCCCTTGGCCCCTGGCCCCTCTCCCCTCCTGCTCACGTTCAGCCAGAGGACTCCCAAGGCACCGACACCCAGCCTACTCCCAGAAGGCTTTCCTAGTCTCTGATCACACCATGGAGCCATAGCTATGAGGAAGAGGGGGAGGCCCTGCCCTCTAGGGGACCAGGGTGGTGGCCTGGCAGCTCTGAGGGACACTGCCTGTTCCTGCCACGAGACTAGGCGGCAGTGACTCACTCCCCCTCTCCTGGGCCTGCCTAGGGTAAGGACACACCCTGGTACTGGCTCAGCCTGACTCAAGCACTTAATTAGTCCATGAAGTACAGCGGAAGGGGTCTCCAAACCTGAGTCATAACCCTCAGAGCTCCTGACCCTGGCAGAATATAGCCCTTGCTGGTGGCATCACCATAGCCAAATGTTCCCCTGACAACACCATTTGCTGACTGGTGTGGGAGAGGCATCCTGGGGCACCCTCTGACCAGTCTCTATGCTGTCTGTCTACTTGCAAGATCAGCACCAGCAGTGGGCAAGGCAGGCCCCCACGACCTGCCTGCTTCCCTGGCACTGCCGATGATCATTGCCCACCTAACATGTCTTCACAGCCAAAAGGGAGGCCTTTGCCAAGCAGAGCACCCAGGCCCTCATTTTTTTTTTTTTTTTTTTTTTGAGATGGAGTTTTACTCTTGACTCCCAGGCTAGAGTGCAATGGCGCAATCTCAGCTCACTGCAACCTCCATTTCCCGGGTTCAAGTGATTCTCCTGCCTCAGCCTCTCAAGTAGCTGGTATTACAAGCATGTGCCACCTCACCCAGCTAATTTTTCTATTTTTAGTAGAGACGGGGTTTCACCACGCTGATCTCGAACTCCTGACTTCAGGTGATCCACCCGCGTCAGCCTCCCAAAGTGCTGGGATTACAGGCATGAGCCACTGCGCCCGGCCCAGGCTCTCATTTTGCTGATGAGCAGACTGTGGCTCCTGATCCCCAGAGGAGCACACACGCAGAGAGGAATGGCTGAGAGCCAGGCCTGGGTTCCAGCACAGGGCCATGTCCATACTACGTGACCCTGGGTGAGTTACTCTGCCTTTCTGAACCTGTCTCTGCATCCATGGCATGGGCGTGATAATCCATTCTGATTCTGCAGTGTTTGTGCCTGACATGTAGGAGGCACTCAGCAAGTGGGTGCCCTTATTGCCATCCCCCTGCCCCCTGTGCCACTGCCTGCCAGAAAGCACGGAGAACACCTGCCAGTCCTTCTACCACATCCTGAGAAGGGGGCTGTTAATGTTGGGTGAGCATCTGTGGATGAGCTATGGGTCTCTTGTGGAGGCTGAACCCTTAAGAATGGGGAAATGAGTGTGGCAGCTCAAGGTCCTGGTCCCTCAGGCCCCTGAATGTAGCCTCTGAGCCTTAGCAGGGCAAGGGTGGTCAGGTGCAGGGTGCCAGCTAGAGAGTCTTGAGTGTTCACACCAGCTAGTGCAGGTGCAGCTCACACTCAGCTCTGCCCTCTGTAAAAATGGCGGTAGGTTGCACCTCATACCTTGAGCCCTCCCAGACTCCCACCAGCTCCTCTGGCTGGCTCTAAGGCTCTGACTCAGGTCAGATCTCAGCCCTGTCTATACCTCACTGTGGCTAGGGAACCCTTGGGGGTCGTACTGTGCCTAGTCCCACACAATTGTCCCAAGCAAAAGTCTCAGACCATTGGGCCGTAAAAGGAGACCCAACAGCAGAGACTGCAGCTGAAGTTGACTTCACACAAGCCATGGGGGGGTGGCGGGGGACCTCCTCAGGTTACAGCTCAGCCCAAGAACTCCTGAGTCCACTGTTCTGACTGCCAAGGCTGCTGACACCTGGTCAAGGCGGGCAGCAGGAGGGGACACTGTGAGTGGCATGGGTACAGCACTCACTCCTCCTTCCTTCCCCACCCCCACCCTCCCCTGGGGTGGGGGTGGGGGAGTGAGCTGCCCGCTGACCAGGATGAGTCCTTAGCACCTGACCTGGCCCTGCTCTGTCCTCCGCCTGCCCTCAGCCTGCCAGGCTGCAGAAAAGAGGCCATGAGGCCTGAAACACACGAGACAGGCAAACTGGCAAGGCCCGGGAGAGCGGGGACAGAGCGATAGCAGGAGAAACAGGTGGAAAAGGAGAAATGAGAGGGACGAGGAGGCAGAGGACAGAAAGATCGCTAGTGCCATGAGGAGAAGGCAGCAAAGACAAAGCCCTAGTCTAAAGAAAAAGGCAACCCTAATCCCAAACCCGCCTCAAAAACAAAAGCAATCTTTTCAGCATCTCTGGCCTGTCTAGTGCTGAAAGGGCCTCCTGAGGCTCCTTGTTCCCCAAACGGGAGCCTCGTGTTCCTGCTCTAAGCCAAACCTCCACGGTTCCCACACAGCAGGATTTTAATCACAATTGCACAGGGCCTAATCCACTTAGTTCCAAACGGGCAGGAGGGTGGGGAGGAGCCCAGGACCCAGAGCTCCCTTCACGCCATTCTTTCCTGTCCCTCAAGGGGCTGGGTTCCCCAGGTGCAGGGCGCACCCAAGTGAGTCCTCATAAAAACCAATAATGTTTCACCAGCAAATGCACCCAGGCCACCCCAAATGAGAGCCCTGCCTTCTGAGTGTCTGCCGGCCTATGTTGTCTCATAGCATGAATGCAGGGATAGTAACAGTCACCGAGACTGGATCCTACTCCCCACCACATATTCAAACCCAGGGTTCAACTGCACCACAAAGATGATGGTTTTGCAAAAGATTATGAAACTGCCTTTAGTCCAAAGTCACTTGGGGAGAATGTCACAGAAAGCATTTTAAGCCGAGAGCACTGTTCCTCTCTCAACCCCAAGATGGGGCCTTTCATCTGGGACCACACAAGATGTCCAATAGATGGAGGGAGAGCAGTAGAACTAATGTTCTCCAGGGAAAACACCAGTGCTCACAGGAGCCATGGTCTCACTGTCCTGAGAGCAGCAGAGCCAGCTCTCCAGGAAGCGCTTTGTGCACACTCTCATGGCACAGGTATGCTTGGAATGCCTCTCACCTAGGGATGTCCTCAGCTCTTGCCCATGGGCCTTCACCATTAGACATGGCAGCCTGGAGCCAAGGGAGGTTGCGGGCTTACAGAGCCAGATGTTCCAACTACTGCCTCCACCCAGAGATCTTCCATGATGATGTCCCCAGCAGAGGAAAATGAGGGATCTAACTCCACTTCCCCAGGTGTGAAGCTCAGAAGAGATACAACAGACCTCTGTTGTAATGAAAACTGAGTCCTTCCCATATAGTCTGAACAACAGCCCAAGTGACCCAGGAGTCCCTGCAGCACCCTCAGCAATGGTGCTCTACCCTTCAAGGCCCTACACAAACGCCTCTTCCTCCACAGATTCCTCTGGTCCTCCCTCAGCTTCCCAGTCTTTGTCAGGACTTTGACACCGGCCCTGCTGAGGTCAACCACATCCTGCCAGAACACAGGTCTGCGAGTGGGAAACTGGTACTCCACAGCAGGTGCTGAATGTCTAAACCAGGCATATTGTCACACACATGCACACACACATACACATACACACACACACACACACACGTGAGTGCACACACACACAGGCACACACATACACCCTGTGCCTTCCTCTGTCATCCACATCCTTCTCAAACCAGAGGTCTGAATTAAACTGGCAACCTCTTCCAGGAAGCCTCTCCTAGCTGGCCCAGCCCAGATACAGTTTCCACTCGCCCACTCACCAGTCTGATTTCCTGCCCGTGGTGCTCTGGGCTCTGCCCAGCTGCACTTGTCTGAGACTCACAAGGCCTGGGAAAAGGCACACGACCTTTCTGAGGTGGCCTTCACAGTCATCATGGTCCTTGTGTGCTGGCCTCATGGGACTGCCACCTGTCCAATCACTGGCACAGAGTTCCATACAGTGAGGAGGACTGAGCAGATGTAGGTAGACACTGGCAGCATCACTCAGGGCCCAGCTGGGGCTGCCAGGGCTCCCAGTGGAGCCAGAGAGGACAATGCCAGCATCTTTCCAAGGACCAAGTCTCAGAGACCCTCCCGTGTCCCCACAGACTTGCATGAGGAGTGAGATGACTTAGATGCTAGGACTCTGGCATCAAACTGCCTAGGCTCACAGCTCAGCCCTGCTACCCACTAGTTGAGCACTTTGGGCAAGCTGCTGACCTCTGAACCTCATCCATATAATGGGAGTGATAAGAGTTAGGTAAGACAACTCATTCTGTGCCTTGTTGTGCACTGTGGACAGGGCCCGCTGGGCAGAATGCTCTGAAAAACTGTTAGCCGTTTATGGGGGTATCAGAATCCACAGCACCAAGGCCTGAATCCTGGAGAGCTGGCATCAGTTCCTAGATGGGATGGGAAAAGATCCTAGAAGCCCCAGCAGAGGTGATCCTGAGAGTAGGCTGGGAGCACAGCTTCGAAAACAGTAAGCAAGGCCAGCCAGGCACGGTACGAACCATCTCAGAACAATCAACCTCTGCCTAAAATTCCACTATTTGCATTTTGTAGGGTTTGATGCCCTCCCCAGGATCTTCATGAAAAAGCAAATTGCTCATCCCTGGCAGTTAACACTCTGGCTCCTCAGATTCTTTCCTTCTAGGTAAGGAGCAGCGTTGGGAGAACCCAGGGGGCAGTGAAACTATTTCCAGGGACTCTATTGTACCGGCTGCATAGTCCCTCCATGTGCCTCCTGATTTGTTGACTCTAACAAGTGGCCCTGCAGAGGCTGATCTGACCGGTCTGGAGATGGTAGGTGAGGGGATGATGGCTGCCAAATGAAAAAGGGCCTGGCCTGCCTGGCAGCTTCACCTGGCTTCAAATCCAGCTCAACAGTACCAGCCCCAACAGGCCAGCCTCACCCTTGGAGCAGTGGGCACCATCCCCCCAGGGAGAGTGAGGCATCCAGGGTACTGGGCTCTGGATCCATTGCTTCCCAGTCTCTGCATCCATCATGTTCTATCTTCCTTTTGGCATTCTGGTTATACAGAGCCCCTCTGTCTACTCAGAGGTGCAGCCTGGACAGCAGGCAGGGAGCAGAAATGGCCTCATGAATGGGCATTTCCTTTCTCCCAGGAATTCTCCATGAGGTCTATTGAGGCAGTGGAACTGTTAGATTCCATTGTGAATTCCCAGATCTTAGGAGAGTAGAAATAGCATTTCTCTGTGGCTTATCTCTGAGCTGTAATCAAAGAACCCCTCTCCTGTGGAGAAGGTGCAACCTGGAAAAAGTCCAGCTCCTGATGCTCCTTCCAAAGCTCAGAGGGGCCAGAGCCTGGTCATTTTCATAAGCATTCATGAATCTCTGATATATGCCAGGCCTTGGGCCTAGGTGCTATAAAAGAGCTTTGAATCAAAGGGGAGTATTATCAAAGGGGTCAAAGAAGGTTCCATTGCCCCAAAGCCAGGAACTCTGGGCAGCTTCCTGGAAGAGGTGGCACTGGGGCTGAGTCTTGACAGATGAGAAGAAATTCTTCAGTGCTGGAGAAGGAAAGATGTCACCTAAAGTAGAAAAGGGAGGTGGGCTGGACTGCAGAGACTTTGAATGCCACAGTTAGAGGCTCAGAACATACACAGCCAAGTCCCAGCATCCCTGTGTAATCTCAAATCCCTGTGAGATCTCCTCCTGGTCTCCAGAGCTTAGTTTCCCATCTGTCAGGAGAAATATGCCCTCTTCTGTGTTGTGCTTTGAGGCATCACTGAGATCCCACATGCAGAGCAGCCTGGCTCACGGAAGCCAACTGGCATCAAGGGGAAGGAAACTGTCCCAGAGGCAGCAGCCCCAGCAACCTCCCCAGATCCTGGGAACCAGAAGGAAGATGGCTGCTACAAAGACTTGACCCAGAGGACTCTGCAGAGGTCTCCTGGACATGTGGATCCACCACCCCACCACTCTACTCTCCTTAACAAAGAAGGGAAGAAGAGGGCACTGGGAGCCTAGAAGAGCCTCCAAAATGCTTTAGGGGTCAGAGGGGAAGAGCCCCCAGCCCCACAGTCCATAACACAGGGGCAGGAAAGAAGACCCCACCATTATGTCTCCATAAGGCCTTTTATTGCTTTTCTTTCTTTCAATTTTTGAGATGGGTCTCACTCTGTCACCCAGGCTGGAGTACAGTGGCATGACCACAGCTCACTGCAGCCTCAAACCCCTAGGCTCGAGCAATCATCTTTCCACCTCAGCCTCTTGAGTAGCTGGAACTACAGGTGTGTGCCACCACACCTGGCTACTTTTTTTTTTTTTTTTTTTTTTTGAGACACAGCCTCACTCTGTCACCCAGGCTGGAGTGCAGTGGCGTGATCTCGGCTCACTGCAACCTCCGCCTCCCAGGTTCAAGCGATTCTCCTGCCTCAGTCTCCCCAGTAGCTGGGATTACAGGCGCCCGCCACTGTGTCCAGCAAATTTTTGTATTTTTATTTTTAGTAGAGACAAGGTTTTGCCAGGTTGGCCAGGTTGGTCTCGAGCTCCAGACTTCAAGTGATCCTCCCGCCTCAGCCAAAGTGCTGGAATTACAGGCATAAGTCATCATACCCAGCCCTAATTTTTAAATTTTGTGTAGAGATAAGGGTCTTACCATGTTGCCAAGACTGGTCTTAAACTCCTGGACTCAAATGATCCTCCTGCCTCAGCCTCCCAAAGTGCTGGGATTACAGGCACAAGCCACCGCACCCAGCCTATTGCTTTTATTTAGAGATACTAAGTGCCATGGTCACTTCTGCCTGCCAAGAGGCCAAAAACCACAAGAGGGCTGGGCAGGATGTCAGGAGGGGAGAAAATTCGGGCCTCTGCTACACCCCCCACTTCAAACCGTGTGACTCACTTTGGGTCCCAATTTTCATGTATGTGATAAAGTTTGAAGGACTGGATCTTGGATGTGGTGGGGTAACTGATGTGTGACAAATCTGCAGGGCTGTGCCCAGTTAGAGGGAAAGCTGAAGGTACTAATTAACTAGTTAAGCCTGGGAGAGGGCACAAGCAAGAGGTCAGCAGGAGAAGCAGACACTGGAGGACCGCCTGGCCCATACACCCTCTCCAAGAAAGGCAGTCCTCCAGTTCCTGCCAAGAGGACAGCAATGAGGGCTTGGGGTACAATGGAGTAGAATGGCTGCACTGGCAGCAGAAGGTAGCCTTGGGAGGGAGCCACTGAGTATGACTGAGGCCAAGATGAACCAAGCAGGTGGTCAGGGGCTAAGGGAAAGCGGAAGAGGCCCAGCTCCCTGGGAGGGAGGGACCTGCTCCTCTAGGGCCTCCACAGAATAGCAACAGTTACAAGGACAGTGGCCACAGCTCTTCCTGTTTTATGAGTGTTTGCTGAGTTTCAGGCTTCCTGTTAAGCACTATCTTCCATCTTGGGCAACAGAGCCAAGAGGATGAGCATGAGACAAATGGGCAGAGATGGCCTGAACAAGGTCAAGTTATAAGATGAGGACAGGCCACCCTGGTTAACCTGGAGTACATCACCAGGGAGGCAGAAAGACACAGAGCCCACGACTGTTGCCTAGGCTGAGCTGGGGCAACTGCGGGGAGAGGGCTAGGCAGATGCAAGGAGAGGACTGTGATCCATCATGAGCTGGCTAAGCTCCCTGGGCCCAGGCCTGCCCATGTACTGAGGTCCCCAGGTCCTGGTCTTCCTGGGCAATGGGCAGAAGCTATAAGTGGGGAGATGTCACCTTCCTCCTCGTGGCCACAGCTACCACTCACAAGACAGGTAAAATAACTGTACCAGAGGTTGTGCTTAGCCCAATATTGGGAGATAGTAAATGCCTGCTTAGCTGGGTAAGGACTTCTAGGCTTGGTCACTAGTGATACTAAGAACAGGAAGGTCCTGGAGTGGGAGCCACATCTAATCCATGTCCCCTTTGAGGGCCAATTTAGGGCCAGATCCTGAAGGTCCCAAGCTAGTAGCCTTAGCCATGCTCACCCATAAAGGGGTACAGAGGGAAATCCACTCCAGGCCTGACCCAATTCCCAGTCCAGAACAAGGAGAGCACTGATGAGGTGCTGTGGAAGTTCTTGCAGTCAGAAGTTACCCCAAGTCACTCATCAGACATAGCATCTATGGGGAAGGGGTTAAGTCCAGTCTTACTTAAAGCTGGCACTGTGTGGGCCTACAAATTCTGGTCTCCCACCCCATCCCTGACTCACCCACAGCATCTGGACACCACAGGGGCTGGTCAGAGCTCAGTCTTGGCCCACAGGGTCAAAGCCTTGGTATTAAGAAGTGGGTCTCTGGCCTCAATCCCTCACCCACCCAGCCTGCCCTCAATCCTAGCACAGGTGGAAGGTTAAATAGTGCCCAGAGGGGGATGAAAACTCTCATTCCTCATCCTCTTACCCCCGTCTGCCCTCAGAAGAGCCACTTTTTCCCTAAAAGACTCAGAGAATCCCATTCCTGATACTCTGAAAAGCTCCCCGACCCCATTCGACTGCTGGGTTAGTGGGCAAAGAAGCTATACCTGGGGCCCAGCCCCACCAGCCCAACCCTGATCCTCTCCTAGACCCACCCGCATGTTCCCCTCCAAGGTACTCCGGGGAGACAACCTCCTCTGTTGGCCCTAGTGGTCCTGGGAAAGACACAGAGAGCTGGGTCCAGCTCCCTGCTCAGATGCTTTAAGACCTTGTGCCTTAAATAAGTCCTGTAACCTCTCCAGACCTGTATCAGGTCCTGTACCAAGTGCTTTAAATGTATAATCTCATTTCATGTTCACAACAACTCCTTATCTTTCCCCATGAATAGATGCAGAAACCTGGCTTCCAGAGTCTAGGATATCATCCAAGGTCATGAAACTGGCAAACACAGGATAGCTATTAGCCATATCTAGAGGACTCTGCACTTGGACTCATAATTAAAACTTGTGTAAAGGCCGGGCACGGTGGCTCACGCCTGTAATCCCAGCACTTTGGGAGGCCAAGGCAGGCAGATCACGAGGTCAAGAGATCGAGACCATCCTGGCCAACATGGTGAAACCCTGTCTCTACTAAAAATACAAAAAATTAGCTGGGCGTGGTGGCGCACGCCTGTAGTCCCAGCTACTCAGGAGGCTGAGGCAGTAAAATCGCTTGAACCTGGGAGGTGGAGGTTGCAGTGAGCTGAGATTGTGCCACTGCACTCCAGCCTGGCGACAGAGTGAGACTCTGCCTCAAAAAAAAAAAATCTTTTGTAAAATGAGAAGGGCCTTTGCTGTACTTCTAGCCTCCAGGAGCCACTATCCCTGCCATGCTCTACCCATCCATTGGCACAAGCTACAAATGAGTAAAGACCCCAGAGATGACAGATTCAAGGGATTCTGGGTATGGGGTGTGGCCCTAGGCCCAGAACTGTATGCCTTAAGCTGGAACCAGGTACCCGCCCCCAGCATCCCCCTGACCCCCACCATGCCACCTATATCAGCATGCCAGGTCTCCAGGGAGCCTATAGTCTGAGGTGGCTAGATGGCTGGCCCGCCCTCTGCCCAGGAACCAGGGGTGGGTTGGCCCAGGGCCTGTCCCTTTCAACACGGGACCAGCGACTCGTCAGGAGTCTATCAGCAGCCTCCTGAGGCTCCACAGGTGCAGTGGGCATCAGCCTTGTCCTCTGGCCAGCCCTGGGAGGCTCACACCACTCCAGCCCAGACAGGCAGGGGCCACAGGGAAGAAGCAGTCCCACCCAAGCCTTGGTGGGGTCTCAGCTTCCAGCAAAGGGAAACAGATCCATTCCAGTCAGAGGAGCTTCACATGGAAGGGGCAGCCAAGCTGAACAAGAGATCCCCTTTGGGCCTGAACACATGGGTCCAGCCAGAATCCCAGAGTCAGGAGTCACCCCTTCCCTGCTTCCGGATACAGCATCTCTAGCCATAGTGACTCCACCCCTTGCTCACTGGGACACTCAAAGCTTAGCTAGGCTACGCCTCAGTTTCCCCATCTGTGAAGTAGGGAGGACCACAAGCCTGACCTTACAGGACAGTATGACGATGAAACATGTTGCTGAGCATAGGAAGCTTAGCAGGGGCGCTAGACATAGCTTCACTCACAGGCTTCCGCTGTGGACCCTCCAGGATACCCCAGGCCTCAGTGAGGGCTCACTGACCTTCAGGGCACACTTCTGTCCAGTGCGCCGATGGAAGCACTCCAGCACTTTGCCGTTCACACCCAGGCCCAGCACCTGCTTGGACAACTGGTAGTCGTCGGTCACTGCGTACTTCTTGGGCTCCCGCCGCCCCCCCGGAGCACCGCCCAAGCCGGGTCCGCCGGGTGCAACTGGCGGGGGCACAGGGCCCCCCTGCTCCTCTGCTGTTTCACCATCCATGGCCCCCGCGGGGCGCTCAGAGGCGGCCCCAGCCTGGCGCTTCTAGTGGCACCTGGGGGAAAGGGGAAGAGTGAGTCCCGCCCAGACTTTTCCAACACACCCCAGCCTTGGAGCCTCTGAACTGGGCTGGGCTGCGAGCCCGGGGCAAGCTGGGAGTGCGGGACGAACGGCCTGAGAGTACAGACGTGCAGCAAGGGGCGGTGGTCGCGCGGCGGGGTACAAGCGAGCACCGCCCGGGCACGTGTCAAGAAGGGAAGGGGCCGGGCGCCTAATGGCCGCGAGGTCCCCGGAGGAGGCCGCAGAGGGGGCCCAGCGAGGGCGTACCTGGCGGCAACGCACCTTGCTGAGGTACCGGCGAGGGGCAGGAGAGGCGGTCGCGGGAGCTGGCGGCCGCAGAAATCCCAGGGCCGAGAGTCGCGCTGCCGGCGCCCACGTGACCTCCCCCCCCTCCCCACCCCCCCCTCCCCCACTCCCCCACTCCACCCCCCGCTCCCTGCGCGTCATCCCAACTTGGGGCCCCGCTAGGTCAGCCTTAAAGGGCCAGGCGGGCCCCGGCTGGGTCCCGCCCCCGAGCCGGAACAAAATAGGAGGCGTGGCTTCCCGAGGGGGCGGTTACTTCCTCGGTTTCCAGGGACACCCAGGGAGGCCCCTGTACTGGCAGTCCGCTACTGTGCGGGTCCCGGGTTTTACTCGCAACCTAGAACGTGACAGCGCAGGACGTCTTATTTCTCTTGAAAGCTCTCCTTGAGTCGGGTGTTTGCTCTGCACGCTGCCAGGTGGCCCTCCAGTATGGCTTGCTAGGCTTCCGACTTGCCTAGTGTTGGCCAACCCTCAGCGTACTCAACTTTTTAAACATGCCGAGGGAGGTGGCATCTTGTCGTTGTTGAATTCGCCACTCTTTAGTCTCTGGTGGCTCTGGGAGTCTCCAGCACTGGCGACTGCCCCCTTTTTGCAGCTCCCGCTTATGCCCTTGACTCGCTGCTTCCCTTTGGTATATACAGCATCCTGGGGACCAGAAATCCCGAGTTGCCATTTGATCAGATCCGCCAACATTTCACCTTATGGTTTGGGCTTTTGGCGTCGTGTTTAAAAAGTCTCTGTCTCCCATCCGAGTGACAGATATTCTCCATTAGCTTTCTAGTTTTGCCTTGCACATATAAGTCTCTGTTAAGCCCATCTTAGACTACCTTACGTATTTTGAGCCAGTTTTCCCAACACCGGCTGTTAAGCAACTCTCATTTCACAGATGAGGAAACTGGGACCCCTGGGGAGAAAACAACTTGTCTAGAGCCATAGGGAGGGTGGCTGTGGCTGTCTTCTGGGACAGATCTGAACTACTTGCGCACATCACATCACTCCCCCAATCCGGAAGCTGAGGGACCTGAGCGAGCTGGCTCACTTGGAACTGGGAAGGTGCGGCTCAGCGCAGGGGCTCTGCATGGGCCTCTGCTGTCATCTACAGGCCATCTACAGGACTGCAGGTACCAGGACCTCGGTTCCACTCA